>NC_000003.12:124008604-124160119 GCF_000001405.40 Homo sapiens
ATTGATTCTTATTATTGAATTGCAATAATTCTTTCTATCCGGATATATATCCTTTGCCAGATATGTGTATTACAAATGTTTTCTCCTAGCCTTCCACCTCAGCCTCCCAAGTAGCTGGGAATGCAGGTGTGCACCACCACTCCAGGGTTTTTTGTTGTTGTTGTTGTTGTTTTTCTGTAGAGACAGGGTCTTGCCATGCTGCCGAGGCTGCTCTCAAACTCCTGGGATCAAGAAATCCTCCTGCCTCGGCCTCCCAAAGTGCTGACATTACAAGCATGAGCCACTGTGCCTGGCTAACTTTTCATCTTTTAAAGTAGTGTCTTGCAAAGAACAACATTTTAATGAAGTCCAATTTATCAACTTTTTGATTCATTGTCCATGCTTTTTGCATAATAAGAAATCTTTGCCTGCCTCAAAATTGCAAAGCTTTTCTTCTATGTTTTCCTCTAGAAATAGTTTTAGATTTTTACATCACTTGTGCTTATTCTTAACTTCCTCATTTGATCTCTTGGATCCTTGGGTTCATGGAGCTATTCTGGAAGGGTTACTAGTATCTCTTTTTGCTTGTAATGGGAGCAAACCTTAGGACCTAACTGGAGTCCTTTGATTACATCATCAGCCTTTTGGGGTTGCAATCACATAAACATACTGAAGAAAATTCCAGTAGGAGAGTGTTCTCTCCTACTTAGGTACTGTAATAGAGAATTAGACTAGCTACCCTTTTGGGAGCCTAAACTGGATTTATATCCCTCTGAAGAAAAGTAGGTGGAGTGCCAGGAGCTGATTTGGCTAAAAGAAGAGGGAAGGTGTTCTTGCTGAAATGCCTGGGGAGAACAGGGGGATCAGGAGGCAACAAGGTGTCTGTCCTGGATATTTATGATGAGCCAAATTCTAGCAAGTCAAGCAGAAACTGAAGGATATGATTTCATAACCAATGTTGTGAGACAGAAGAGCGCAAAGGTGCTGCATTGGCACCTGGAGGGAAAGTGTCCTAAGGGGGAGGAATAAGACACTTTTTCCCACTTCATGTAGACTCAGCATGGTTTTAGCCAGAAAACACTCTGGGAAGTCTAGGGCCACTTTGGCACCGTGGGAGTTTGCAGCTCTGGTTGCTCCAAGAGCACAAATATTAATGTAGCACAGATATTAATATTATTAATTAGCACAGACATTAATGTAGTCACAGAAAGAAAAAGAGATGAAAAAGAGACAGGTTCTTCACTGCATGAGAGGCTCCGTTTGGGATCTCTCAGAAATGTGGAAGCAGAGGCTACAGCACAAGCCTGGGTTATTGCTAGTAGCAAGACAGAAAATAAGGCTTGGGTAAGCTGTAGTTATAGTTACAATGGAAATGACTGGCCCAAGAGAGTGCTACAGATTACATAGCAGCTACTAAGAAAAAGGACAGGCAGAAGGGGTAGGCAAGACATGTTCTCTGGCTGTTGCAGCCACCAAAAAGCCAGGATACAAAGGCAGGGAGTTATCTGAACTGCCTTCCTGGAGGGTCATGCATTTAGGATCCGACTCATTGACTCTTTTCCTTAATTTTGCTCTGTACATTTCTCTAAGAGGGCTAACCAGTGTCAAGGTTTGATAATATCTGAAATGGTATTCTGGTGCCAAAGTATCATCTCACAAATTATTTAGAAATTGCAAAGAGAAAATATATTTTATAATCCAGATATCTGGCAGTTAACCACATGACCAAATTTAGCATCACTAACAGTAGGACAACTAGATATTATATACCTCTTGCTGTGATATACTATGAAGTACACATCATCAACTATGAAGTATTATTTTTTTTTTCTTTGAGATAGGGTCATGCTCTGTCGCCCAATTTAGAGTGCAGCGATGCAATCATAGCTCACTGCAGCTTTGACCTCCCAGTCTCAAGTGATCCTCCCACCTCAGCCTCCCTAGTAGCTGGGACTACAGATGTGTTCCACCACACCTGGCTAATTTTTATATATTTTTTGTAGTGATGGGGTTTCACCATGTTGCACAGGCTGGTCTTGAACTCCTGGGCTTAAGCAATCTGCCTGAAAGTTCTGGGATTATAGGCATGAGCCACTGTGTCCAGACTATGAAGTATTCTTGCCAAAACTGATCAACCTAAATCTAATCAAGCTTCTGGGCCAGAACTGTCCAATAGCAATGTAATGTCAGCTACATGTAATTTAAAATTTTCTAGTTGCCACCAAAAGCACAGAAAAGAAAAAATAGATAAATTGTGCTACATCAAGATTAAATACTTCTTTGCATCAAAGGACATAATCAACACAGAGAAAAGGCAAACCACTGAATGGGAGAAAATATTTGCAAATTGATATTCATAATATGTAAAGAATCTTTACAACTCAACACCCACAAAATAAAAAAAAAGATTAAAAAATGGGGAAAGGACTTGAATAGACATTTCTCCAAAGAAGATGTACAACTTGCCAATAAGCACAAGAAAAGACTAATTATGAGGGAAATGCAAATTAAAACCACAATGAGATCAAACACATTATGTTGGCTATCATAAAAAGAAAGTGCCAGGCGCAATGATCACAGCTACTCAACAGGCTGGGTGGAAGAATCCCTTGAGACCAGGAGTTAGAGGCTGCAGTGTGTTATGATCATGCCTGTGAATAGCCACTGCACTCCAACATAGGTAACATAGCAAGCCCCATCCATAAAATAAAATAAAATAAAATAAAATAAAGGCAACAAAAAATAACAAGTATTGGTAAGGATGTGGAGAAATTGGAACCCTCGTGCATTGCTGGTGGGTGTGTAAAAAGGTATGGCTGCTGTGAAAAATGGGATGGCTATTCTTCAAAAAATTAACCACAGAATTACTATATGATCCAGCAATCCCACTTCTGCATACACATCCAAAAGAAGTGGACTCAAGGACTCAGACAGATATTTGTACCCCCCTGTTCATAGCAGCATTATTTACAATAGCCAAAAAGTAGAAGCAACCACAGATTCATCAATGTATGAATGGATAAACAAAATGTGGCATATACACATAGTGGGATATCATTCAGCTTTAAAAAGGGAGGAAATTCTAACACATGCCACAACATGGATAAACCTAGAAGACATTGTGCTAAGTGAAATAAGTCAGTCACAAAAGCACAAATACGTTGTGATTCTATTTACATGAAGTACCAGAGTTGTCAAATTTATAGAGACAGAAAGTAGAATGGTCGTTGCCAGGGGCTGAGGAGTTAGTATTCTACTGGATGCAGTTTCAGTGGGGTAGATAAAAAATTCTGGAGGTGGATGGTGGTGATGGTTGTGCAACAATGTGACTGTACTTAATGCCACTGAACTGTACATTTAAAAATGTTTAAAATGGTACATTTTATGTTGTGTGTATTTTAGCACAATGAAAACAGCTATAAAAGGCATTCTTGAAACAACCGAGGATATCTGATATTCTGAAATTATTATTACTTTTCTTAGGTGTAATAATAGTATTGTGGTTATATCTATACATTATATAAAAACAGGATAATGTCCTTATTCCTAGGAGATGCCTTCTGAAGTATTTGGAGATAAAGTGCTCTGATATCTATGACTTTCAAATGGTTTGGAACACTTAAAGACAGAAAAACAAAAACATTGCACACACACCACACATACAGATAAGCAAATGTGGCAAAAGATGAACAACTGGTGAATTAGGAATGGGGTAAACAGGTATTAATTGTTTCATTCTTATAATGTTTTCTGTCTCCTTGAAAATGTTTATAGAAAACATGGGGCCAAGAAAGGAGGAGGCCAGGAGACTTCAGGAAATGGTCAAATCATGTCCCCAAGCAGGGGACATAGTCTTCTCTGTCTTCTCCATAAAGTTCCTAAGGATGATCCATACATGTACAGGGAGCAATGACAAAGGAAAGGAGCTCTTAATTGAGCTTGTGTCTGAAAGCTAAGTGCCTCTCTTTGTTGAGTGGCCTAGGCCAGAGGCTTACATGTGCCTCTCTTTCCCCCCAAGCAAAGCCCAAGTTAGGAGACTTTCTTCATGGGACAGATCCCAAAAGTGATAAAAGTACCACAGCAAGCATGAGAGAAGAGAACTGAGAATCAGACAGCATCTTCAACAATGCAGAGGAAGGACACCACCTTTTACTAAGTGATGCCCACTCAGTGTGAGAAATCTCTCCATCAAGTTGAGGTACAGAGTAAGGGGCACGGGGAGAAGGGAAGATGACTTGAGTTTCTTCTTTTCCCAGAGGTAAAGGGTAGATGGATTGAAGCCCTTAGAGAGTGATTATGAGAAGGCCACCCTCCCACCCCTGTAAGTATTTCTAGCACTGCCATAAATGATGTGAAGGCCATTGTTTTTAGAGGAGCTGCAAAAAGGAGAAGCTCCAATTGGAGAAGTCAGTATCTGGTAAAGCAGTACTGTTGCTGACCTCTCTAAGGCTGTGTCCAGCAACCAAGACCTCCAGTAGAAGGGGAGGTGTTGTGAGCCATAATAAAATGCTTAGGCATTCAGAGGGAAAATTATAAGCACCAACGATGACTTTCATTAACAGCCAAAGAATCACATGATGTAAAATTGAAAGAAGCGCAGCTTACCTGGTGGAATCATCTACTATCTTTCCTTCTCTTTAACTCATTTTTTTATAACCTGACAAAACAGAGGTTCAGATCATAGGCATAATTCAGGTCCTGTAATTTGGAGTATTATGGAGGCAAAGTAACTGAGATTGCTTTGGCATAAATTATTGGCATTATCACTCCAATTTAACCACTCTGTAAACATTTTATAATATAGATGAGCTCAGGGAAGGGCCAGGGTAGAGATGAGATTTGGGGATAAGGGAACAGATCCTTGAAGCAAAGCAGGAGACCTCTGACTTCCAACTTAACTGGACGTTGGATGAGAGTCTCATGCTGAACCAGCAGAAACTGAGCCACTTACAACTCTGCTTGAAGCTTCTCCTAAACTCTGGTATTTTGCCAACTTCCTGAAATAATCAAACCATCCTTGGCACACAGTTAAAACTACTTCCTTTGATGCCTCACTGTATCTTTTTGTAAAGGTTTAGAAAAGAGGCAATGCCTTTAGCTGAATAGTTGTTTGTTTCAGAGGATATTGACTTACTGCATCTGATCAGGAATTAGTTTATCCTATATTCCTATTACCACTCCTTGCAATAACCTAGTGTCAAGTGACTTGGCATGGTGAGGGAGTGAGGCAGTTGTAAGTATATATTTTAAAAACAGACTTTGTCCCTGCCCTTGGATTCTGATGTATCCCATGGAGTCTCTAAGGGAATATGGCTTCTCCAATACTTTCTCAAACAGCTGTTGAGAATCGTCCTTTGTAGTGAGAAATATTACTGATGTGGAGCCAGGAAAAAGTATGATAGCCACGGCAGTAGGGGGTGGTTGTGTGTGTCCTCAGCTCAGTTATCTTCTTAGCATGGGACTGTGAACTCAAGCTCATGTGCAACACAACCCTGCACCTCAAAAATACCTGGGACAGTTGCTCAGTGAGTAGTGGTACGTTTAACTTCCTTCCAATTTGGTTTTTCCCATCTGGAAATATGGAGCTAGTGTGAGAAACACTGAATACATATCCCTCAGGCTGCCTTGCCATTTCAGTGTCTTCCAGACATCTTCCATCTGCCAGGATTTGCATCTTGGTGCTTGAGAACTTTACCTGGAACCCTCGAGGGTCATGGGCCTTAAAACACATGACAGTTCAGAAACACTGGAAAATTAACTGCCCTATCCCCCAGGAGCATCTGTCAACCAATGAATGGTGGGAGATGATGTATAAATATCCCAACGATGTTATCCCTTGGGTGGAATAATTCTGAGGTGTGTGTCTTAGACAGTTTCTCAGAGTTTCTCTGCAGGATTAAGCTATAGTTGTCCTCTGTAGTTGGCTTAATAATCCACTTTTTATTGGCTGTCTTCCTTTCCCTGACTCACTTCCTCACTCACTTGCTGGTATTTCCCTGGATTATCTCCCAAATAAACCACTTGTTCTAAAATCCTTGTTTCAAGGTCGGCTTCTGGAAGACCCCAAACTAAGACGATTCTCCAGTATAAGTTAGCATCATTAAACACACATTGCTGGAGAGCTGCTAAAGGAGAGAGATACTTCCTCCTCTTCTTACTTCTTCCTCCTCACATCCAAGGCAGTGGGGCTTGTGCCAAGATTTGTGAGCTGTGCTGGATGCTGGATGTGCTCTCCTCCACATAATATCTGCTCTGTGAAGACAGACCTTAGGGAGGCTTTTCCTCTTTATTGTACTTCAGGCACCATACTCATCACATGACCCAGCAATTGCCTGGGCTTTGCAGGCTCCAGATGGTCTTCCCACATGTTAACCCTCACAACAACCCCAAAGATAGGTCTTATAGATCCCTATTTAGTAGGTAAGGAAACGAAAGTTCCAGTGTTTTCCCAGGATCACTTGGTGGTACATCCCTGCAGGCCAACTGGAACTTGAAGCAAGCGACACAAGCTGGAGACTCTTATTTTCTCTACAGGACTGAAGTTTCAGTAAAGAGTCAGTTAACACAGTGGATTTTTCTAAGACTTTGGGGTTTGAAAGATCACTGGACTGGGCCAGAAAAGAGGAAGCAGAAAACATATCAATTCTTAGAGTGTGATATGTGAGATTCTTCCAAATGCTCTGTGGTCTGGTTCCATTGCCCCACAGAAGGTAGATGGCAGCTTGGATAAGATCAGGCCTTCCAAAGCAGACTCAGGGTTGGAATTTTTGCTCCATCATTTACCAGCCACGCTACTTGGGTTAAATTACTTAAACAGTCTGAACCTTAGCTTCTTCATCTGTAAAACAGAGATAATAATAATATTTCTCACAGGGCCACTGTGAGGATAAAATTAGATAATGTACCCAAATCTCTTCACACAGAAAAGCCTTCCCCTGGTGGATCTCTCATGTACCCCCTGGATTTTCTAGGAGAGTGTGGCTTCTCCAATACCTTCTCGAACAGCTATTGAGAATCACTGCTTGTAATGAGAAATATTACGAATGTGGAGCCAGAAAAAGTCTGACAGCCTTTGCAGCAGGGGGATGAGGAGGAGGTGGTTGTGTGTGTCCTCAGCTCAGTGGTAGGTGCTGGGCATGTGGTAGGAATGAAAAAGAAAAGGTAGCTATTATTAGTAGAATAGTATCTATAACTTTTATTTTTTGGCACAAATTAACAATTTAACAAAAACCAGACATTATTTTTGTTGGTGCTTTACCGGAAACATTGCTGTTTTCTAATGACTTCTGGTAGTAGTTTGTCATTATTTTTTATTTTAGGTTTTATTTTGTGTAAAAGGACTAAGTGAGATGGGTGTTTGCAATTTTTTTCTTTCCAACTGACTAGCTAGTCAATGCTCCTTTGGACCCCAGCCCACCGCCCTGAAAAAAAGGAAAAAGAACAAATTGAGAACTTATGAAACCACAACCCAGAAACCTGAATGTTTTTCATTTTAACTTTTCTTGGAAAAATTTGATGAAAAGCCTGTGCTGTGGTTTTAAACGGCATTGGGATGCCCGTCTCCTGTCCTTACCCCTAAGCTTCTGAACGTGATTTATATTTCCCTATTTTAAGCTAGTGCAGATTTATGAGACTTTAAACACCATGGTTGGAGTTACTGGAGGTTTAAAGAGATTAAGCAGGTCCAGTAGCACCTGGAGGTGTATAAGTTGTTTAAAAGATTTATCGGCATTCCCATGTTAAAATTCACTTCTCAAGGATTCTCATATCCTGGATCTGAATCTATTTTGGGCAGAGGAGTAAATTTTTAGGATGTTTCATAAATGGAGGAAAAAACCCATCCCTCTATCGCTTCTTGCTTTGTTTTTTGGGCTGTGCCTCTGCCCCCTCACCTCTCTATCTTGCATGTCTAGCTAGTTCTGTCTCTGGGGTTTCCCTTCTCTCTGTTCCTGTCCTCTCTCAAGCGGTTGATCTCTTAGTGTTTCTCTGTGTTCACAAACTCAGCCTTTGACCCAGGAACCTAACAACAGCCAGAGGGAGCCTGAAGCTTTCTTGCCTGCCCTTGGCTCCTTGTGGTCCAGGGAGGGCTGCGGTGGTGGGAATGCCTGACACAGGGTAAAAAATCTCTGTGTTTACACCAGGGGGAGCAATGACTCCGTGGCTGAGAGGGGCTGGCTAGAGTCTGGAGTTTCCAAATGTCCATTCAAAGCAAGACACAATTCCTAGGTAGTTAAATTTAGGAGACTCTGTATTGAATGACCTTGAAAATAGGTTCAGGGCACAACATGGGCACACCGCTTTGTCATATTCTACAAATACTGGGGAGAGCCAACATTCTTCTCATTGCCAATAATTATGCTCATCAGCCTCCACGTCTTGCCTCTCACGTTTCTTCCATGTCCCAGCTCTGCCCACCCTGTCAAATCAGTGTGGATGTAGGGAACATGAACACATTTTAATATCAGCCTAAACCAGACATCACTGGGAAGGAAATTGGAGAAACCATTCCAAAGTCAAGTAAAAATAGCTTGTGAATATGTACTCCATGGTTCCATTTATGTGAAACCCTACAAAAGACAAATCTAATCTACAGTGACAGAAAGCAGACTGGTGGTTGCTTGGGACTAAGGTGGGGGCAGATTGGCTGAGATGGCACAAGAAAACTTTTTGTGATGTTGAAAGTATGCTATGCCTTGATTGTAGTGATG
Source organism: Homo sapiens (assembly GCF_000001405.40). Lineage (NCBI taxonomy): Eukaryota > Metazoa > Chordata > Mammalia > Primates > Hominidae > Homo > Homo sapiens. Next base: position 124,017,292 of record NC_000003.12, read on the forward strand.
GTCGGACAGTTATATAAAGTTGTAAACACTCACTAAAATGTACAATGAAAATGAGTGTGAACTATACCTTGGTTTTTAAATGTCTCTGTTGTACATTCACACCAGCCTTTACCTCCATTAGCATAGACAATAGGAAGCTGTGTGTGAATCTTAGAATGCTCCCCAATCCAGGAGTGGTTGTTCAACCAGCCTATGCTGTGTGTCTATAGAGGGCACGGATAATCCAAAGCAGCAGATGAAACACCTAATTAGTTCTAATTGACTCTGGACTTTTTCTGTGCATTTGCCTTCCCTGAGTACAACCTGACTGACAGGAGCGGGGAGAGTAGGCAGCCAAGAAATGTGGCAGGGGAGGCCAGATTAAACAATTACAAGGGAGGGACAACAAAAGGGTGACTGACCACGCAGATGATAAAGAATTGTTGACTTTGTAATGTGAACTCATATTGTGCAAAGCAATTGGTGAGGTGGAGCAGATGTGCATTAGAAACGAAACCAACCACCCGGAATGGTCATGGTCTCTGGATAACAGGGGAGCTTCATCGACTCCATCTTTTCCACATCTCTAATTAAAATTTTGATATTACTTAAGTCAGGCACACTGCTCTATTCATTCCGACATCTGAATATCCATTTTAAAGTGGGCTAGGCTCACCCAGAGGATGATATAACTAGATTAAGAGATGGTGTGAGGGTTTAGAACATTGGATTTTTTGTCCCTGTTTGTGTGACCTTCTGGAAAATCTCTTGTTTCATTTATTTTTTTCTTTATTCCCTTATTCAATAAAATTATTGAGCACCTATTATAAACCAGGCTGTTTGCCAGACATTGTTGACATATTGCTATAGGCGTCATTTTCCTCATTTGTAAATGCTCATTCTGGGATCCCTTGACTATCCTGACCACTGTGCTAATGGTAGGTAGTGATGAGGTCAGGCTCTGAGACCTTCAATGCTGTGCCTCAATGTTGAGGCTGCCTCAATATAAAAGATAAGACTCTCCAACTTCCTTGGTCTCTATCTTTTTAAAGAGTGGCTCCAGATCACTGAAAGCATCTTTGTCATAAAAATTCCATGGAAATGAAATTAAGCATTTTAGTTTTATTTGTTGAAAATCTGTCCTTTAAAAACCTCCTGAGACCATTTTAAAGTTAATTTCTTATTGCTTCAAAGAACAAACTCACATATAGGTATGAACTAACATTTGATCTAGCGCAAGGCAGTAAACTAGGGTTTTTGTCAGGCCTTTCTCCCTGATTTGCAGTGTTCCCTGGCACACCCACCCCCTCACTAAGCAAAATTTAGAAGTCAACAGACACAAAATTACTTCTCCCTTGAAATCTTCCTCACACTTATTTTCAAGCGTCCAAGAGATACAAGCTCTTTTCAAGCATACAAGATCTGTTCCCTTCCAGGTCATCAAGTCAACTCTCAGAAAAGAGTCTGATAGAGTGAGATTCAATTTCTACTCTGTCCATTTATAATGTGTGACCCAGGGAAAGTTCCCTAACTTCTTTGCCCTGCAGTTTCTTCATCTGGAAGTGAGGATAACAATATCTACTTTGAGTTGTTGTCCAGTTTAAATAAAATAATGGATGCAAAAATGCCCAGCCAATAGTAGAAAATCAATGGAAGTTGTTATGAAAGCCTAGCAGAGGTGAAGGCTGGAGATTAGCGAGAAAAGTTCTGCCACAGAGTGAGAAATACTCCATGAGGAACCAGGACCTTCAGTCTTTGTTGAGTAGGTGGCTCCTATGGAAGGATAGGATCTTCAGATTATTAAGCTCAGAAGTATGTATTATCTATCTGGGAGGACTGGCATTCTAAAAGGGGAAATAGGTCATCCAGATGCCAAAAATGGGAGGGCCCAGAACCCAGCTATAGGAAGAGTGAATATGGAAGAAAATGATGAAGAAAAAGTCAGCTCCAGCAAGCTGTGGTGGCCATAACAGCAGATGCCACCATCAGATTACCTCCACATTCCCCCAGGAAAAGTTGACATTTCCTGGTCCTTTCCAAAGAAGCTGCAGTCCCACCAACAGGTCAAAATTAGTATCACAAAGAGGGCTGAGAACCTGAAGATGGAGCATGTCTGCTGATCTGAGAACAACAGACAACCGGCTCCAGCTGTGATTAAAGTTGGTTGGAATTCACAGCTGGTAGAACAATGACCACATTAATGAACTGAACTTCGGCTTACCCTCCTGTTCCAAAGTTCTTCTTCTTCCCTCCACACACACAGCCAACTGTACTATGGAGATTTATGGTGTTAGCACCTGAAGAGTTGGATGGCCTTGATTGCTGTTAAATAAACTCTAACATGTATGATTTGAAAACACAGTTACAGGATGCAAACTTGCTAAGAACACCAAATAAGAACCAACTATATTGTAGAGCTCCACGTGGGCAGGGACAACATCTACATTTTTTACTACTTTATATCAAGCATCAAGCTCGGAGCTTCTTTGGTGTCCAACCATCCTGGTTTGCCTGGAGCTCTCCTAGCTTCAGCACTGAAAATTCCTGTGTCTCAGGAAATTGCTCAGTCACAGATAACCACGGATGGCTGGTCACCTGGACTTGGCACATAATAGATGGCCAATAAATTTTTGTCAACCAAAAGAAATGCATTAAATAAGTAGTATAAGTGTAACTGGAATTACAATGTAATAAGTTATATTAACTACTTTTGATACAAATCAGCCTCTAATAGATACCGGTTTGAAGTTGAGTTTGATGAAACCAGCATACTAGTTTGATGATATATAGACCAGTTTTGGACTTCTATACATTCTCATTTCTGTCCCTTCTTTTGACCTTACTGTGTATGTCTGGGCAATTAGTCAGCAGCAGGGCCACACAGTTTCGAACTGTCAAAACATGGTCAAACATGACTAGGATTTCTAAAGTTTATTTTCCTAATTATTTACTTTCCCATCCCACCTACATAGAAGCCAGGTGTTTTAATATGATCCATAGCATACACTTGGGAAAGAAGGAACATTTGTGCAGTCTAAGAAATTCAACAATCCTTTACTGAGTGACTGCTCTGGGCACTGTGCTGGGGGCTGCAGGGCATTCAAAATGAGTGAAAAAGGATCCTTGCCCTTAGTAGCTCTCAGTCTAGGGATAGGATGTATGAATAAACAGACATGAATATTTATGATATGAAGCATATTGGTATACTATTTTAATGATTTTAGTTGTGCCCTGTATGACTACAAGAGAGAGGGAGGTTGATTTTGAGGCATTGTGGAATGTCCACCTGAAAGAGGTAGGATTTAAGGTGGGCTTTGAAGAAAGTACAGGACTTCAAAAGTTGGCTATTGGGTGGGGAGAATTTCTTTCCAGGTAGAAGGGAAAGTAAGGGCATGGGAATTAGTTGCATTAGGCCACTCACTACATAAACCTGACTAAAGGGACTTAACTAAACAGAGACGTATACAAGAAGCCCAAGGCTAATGCAGAACTTCAATGAGCCATCAATGCCCTAGGCTTCTTTTCTCTTTCTGCTCCACCATCCTTAGCTTGTGGCTTTGTTGATCTGTGTTCCCAAGATGGTTGCTCCACCTCAAGCCTTATGTTGTGCACAAGGCAGGAAAAAGGAGAAAGAAAAAGGGATAGGAAAGAAAGTGAAGAAGGAAAGAAAGGAAGGAAGGGTGGGGAGAAGGTGGAGCCTGTTATGAGAAGGGCAAAAATTTTCCCCAAATCCCTAGCAGACGTTTTCTTCATTTGTATTTCATGATAAGAAACAGGTTACATGGCCACCCCTAGCTGCAAAGGAGTCTGGGCAGGTGAACATCGTAGCTGGACATATTGCCCTCCTGAATATTATTATAGTTCTGTTAGTAACAAGGCGGGGCAGAATGGATTTAGGGTAGGTACCTAGCAGGGTCTGTGCCTTTGAGCAGAAGCCTAGAGATGAGGACAGGGCAAGGATTGCTGGATAAATGAGAGAATTAAGAGCAGAATCTTGTGCCTGGAATGAAGCAGGTGTGTGTGTGTGTGTGTGTGTGTGTGTGTGTGTGTGTGTGTGTGTGTGTGTTGAGGAGGGGGCAGGACAAGATGGGATAGGATGGGATAGCTTTACAGGTGTGGGTAGAAGTCATCTGAAGAAAATAGTGGGAAAACAGGTGCCAAATGCTGGAGATATGTGGCTTTAACCTGTCTCTTTAATTTCTCTGCAAAAGCTCCAGATCAGCCTGTTTCATGCTTCATGGGATAGTGTTCATCCTTTACTCCCATCTGCTTCCCTCCTCAGTCTCATGTTATCAAGAACCTTGGATAGGCTGGGTGTGGTGGCTCATGCCTGTATCCCAGCACTTTGGGAGGTTAAGGCAGGAGGATCGCTTGAGCCCAGGGGTTTGAGATCAGCCTAGGCAACATAGGGAGACCCTGTTTCTACAGGGGCCGGTGGGGGGAAAGAACTTTGGATAGTTGTATTAAAAATGCCACTTTCAAACCTGTACCTTTATGTCAGTATCAGAACATGACAGAAACACAGCTTTTTCTTTCTCTCAAATTTACCTCTTATCTATATTTCAATTTTGCATTATTATTTATATATTATACTGATTGACTCTTTTATTTTCCTTGGGTACTATATAATATCAACCTTTCAGCATGAAACAATTGTGATTTTAGCTTTATTAACTAATAATCAGGAGAAAAAATATACAGAAACATAATGCTAATCAGAAGTATACATATATATTTTTCTATATATTTCTGATTAGTATTTATGAATCTAAAATCATATTTTACACACAGACATACTCCCTCCTCCCCTAAATATATTTTCCATCTATAGCAGTATTTTTTTTTTCTGGATAGACATTGAGACCTTATTTTATTGTCAATATAGTAGTTTTTTTTTTTTATTATACTTTAAGTTCTGGGATACACGTGCAGAACGTGCAGGTTTGTTACATAGGTATACACGTGCCATGGTGGCTTGTTGCACCCATCAACCCGTCATCTAATGCTATCCCTCCCCTCGCCCCCCCAACCCCTGACAGGCCCTGGTGTGTGATGTTCCCCTCCCTGTGTCCATGTGTTCTCATTGTTCAACTCCCACTTATGAGTGAGAACATGTGGTGTTTGGTTTTCTGTTCCTGTGTCAGTTTACTGAAAATGATAGTTTCCAGCCTCATCCATGTCCAAGCAAAGGACAGGAACTTATCTTTTTTATGGCTGCATAGTATTCCATGGTGTATATGTGCCACGTTTTCTTTATCCAGTCTATCTTTGATGGGCATTCGGGTTGGTTCCAAGTCTTTATAGCAGTCTTTTTGAGAGTCAGACTTGTTCTTTAGCTTGGCAATTTCTTTTGTATCTTGGAGTGATTTTACTTTGGTCACTGTCTAAGCTACAGCTCTCTGATTAATTTTACCATTGCTTGGCTCCAGTTTTGGTTTCTTTCAGGGTAATAGTTTCTGAAGAAAACAACCATTCTGAAGAGTAGTTGAAGAACCACAGAGAGCCTGTCAGTATTAGGGGAAGTTATAAGGTTGTTATTACTCTAAGTCAGGGGTCAGCAAACATTTTTTTAAAGTGCCAGATAGTAAATATTTTTTACTTTGTAGGCCAAATGGTCTTTGTTGCAACTACTTGACTCTGCCCTTGTAACACAAAAGTAGCCATAAACACTAAGTAAATGAATGCGCACAGCTTTGTTCTCATACAACTTTACTTACAAGTCCCCTGCTCTAAGTGAACAGCAGAAAGAGATTCTTTCCCTTGAGCATGCTCTTTGTCTGTGTTTCTTCTTTTTGTCTTCATATCACCATCTTTCCTCCACGCTTGTCTTTATTCCTTTTTCATCATAACTTCCCTGTTTCTCACTTTCTTTTTCACATCTTGGTCCTTTCTTGTCACTTGCTGCATGACACGTCCTTCAGGATGCCTGGCAGATCCTCCTAGTCTCGTGGGATGACTTCAGAAAGGAAACCTCACTCCTCCTTGGGGCCACTTGGTGACAGAGAGTTTCCTGGGATGACTGGATTGTGTGTCTGGCCACTTCTTGAGTACACCTAACTCTTTGTGGGTAGCTTAAGATATGTTTTAGTTTATTAGCTGCATCATTCCTCTCGCTTCCTGGGACCTGCATCTCTGAGATGACTAAGGGGGTCTTTCTTTTAAAATGCCAGTGGAAACTGAGGCGTATTTGAGTGTTCTTTAGTTTGTTGAGTTCTCCCATCTCTTCCGAATAGGTGAAGGCTGACAGGGAACATGAGTGTGGCGTCTGTAAGGGCAACTTCCTGAGGATCTGTAGGAAATTGACATGATTTTACCTCCTGGAGATTTCCTCATTCAGGCAGGTTTTTGGTCACCACATGCTTCCCCCAAAGACAGGATGAGAGTGAATGGGCTTCCACTGCAGCAGGAAAGATTAAGAGTAGAGGTCAGGAAGAACTTTGGGGCTGTCACAACTGTATATCAAGCAAGGCCAAGACCAGGGGATGTTTTGGCATTCCCTTGGAATTGTTAAAAGAAGAGGACAGATTATTTCCTGTCCTCACTCTAAACAGAAAATAGTGTGACAAAGGAAACAGCTTTCTGTTAGAAATTTCCTGTGCAGTATGGACTGAGGGCTGGGAATCAAGATTTGAGACCCAAATATCTTCCACCAGCTTCCTCTATGCAGATCACCCTTCAGGGTGCCAGCTGCTCACTTCAGCAGGGAAGACACCCACCCTTCCACGATCTGAGTGATGCTGATATTCTTCTGGCTTCAGAATTCTCTATTCCTTTCTTTTTCTCTCTGCTGTGTCTTTCCCTCAGCTTTTTAGCTATGCACAGCTGCTCCATTTTGAAAACAACAGAAAAAAATAAACATTTGGAAACTTGATCATCCTGTCTAGCTACTGTCTTCTTTTCTTTCTTTCTTTCTTTTTTTTTTTTTTTTTTTTTTTTTTTTTTGAGAAGGAGTCTCGCTCTGTCGCCCAGGCTAGAGTGCAGTGGCGCGATCTCGGCTTACTACAAGCTCCGCCTCCCTGGTTCACGCCATTCTGCCTCAGCCTCCCCAGTAGCTGGGATTACAGGCACACACTACCACGCCTGGCTAATTTTTGTTGTATTTTTTAGTAGAGACAGGGTTTCACCATGTTAGCCAGGATGGTCTCAATCTTCTGAACGTGTGATCCGCCCGCTTCGGCCTCCCAAAGTGCTGGGATTACAGGCGTGAGCCACCGCGCCCGGCCCTTCTTTTCTTTTTCACTGCTCACTCTTCATGAAAAGATAATTCCTCTTTGCTGCTTCCATCCCCTCACCACACACTGGCCCCTGTCCTGCCTGTGGTACGGTTCTATCCTTTGCTTTGCTCCCTCACCACACACTGTCTCCTATAACCCAGTTCTATGCTCCTCTTTCTCTACTGAAGCTCGCTTAAAACCTGCCACTTACCCAAATTCTGTCTCCATGTCTTAATCCTCTCTGCCCCTTACTTCCCTGTGGCATCTGACCTGTTTGACCCCTGTCTCACTCCTAACACCCTTTCCCCTAGTCTACATGGCCGACATATTCCTGTGACTTGTCTCTCTGGCCTATTGTTTCTTTCAGTCATTGGCTTCACTTCCCCACTTTGCCTGGCCAGTTGGCAAGCTGTTGTAGAAATTCAAGACCATAGAGCTGAAGGCTGGGCTAGGATGGCATTAGAGGGAAAAGAGGGCAACGGATGTTCTCTCAAAGGAAAACACAGGATTAATGATAGCATGGATGCAGGAAGTGGAGGAAGGGGAGGAACCCCAGAAGTCTTTCAGATTCTAGTCTGTGAAATTAGAATAAAGAAGTCGGAAAAGTGGGGAGAGGTGCTGGTTCTAAGGCACGTTTGATTTGAGTAGAAAGCAGGATATACAGATAGATAATTTCATCCAAAGAGGAAAGTTAATGGAAGTGGATAGAAAATCTTTTATCTCATTCGTTCTTGGTGCTTCAACCAGCTCTTAGCTCCTTAATCAATATTCCCAGCTGCCAAGCCCTCTCTCAGCTGCTCTGCCAATTGGACATCACCATAGTAATTGGACATTACTAATTGCTGATTGGACATTACCACCTGGATGCCCATCATCACTTCAGACTCCTAACATAGGTGAGGAAATGTGTGTGATAGGGAAACACCATGGGAACCCGCCTAGGACTCATGAATTCTGGGGTCTGCTGTGGATCTTCAGGCAAGTCACTTTACTCTCTACTTTTCAATCTTCTTGTTGTTGAAATGAGGGGTTCGATTAAGTAATATTTTAATCACTTTCCTCATCTTTCCCCAGATTGTTTTCTCCTCTCTCTCTAGAGGAAAAATTTCTCCTTTAGAAGCCGATTTTTCCTGTTATGCCGTTGTTTTCTCTCGGTTACCTAGTGGTTCTTGGACTCCTGCTCACCCTGGCTCACTCTTTCCTGCCCACACCTGCTTCTCTCCATATATAAGGCATCAACACATGCTATTATGTTTCCTTTCTCATTGCCTTCCACAGCTTTCCATTTCAGTCACAGCCACAGCTTCGTTGAAGTACTTCTACACTATTCTTTGGACTCCGAACTCCTTCTTCCAGTCTCCTAGGCTCATCTACCTTCTGAAAACACTTCTTCCATCTTATCCCATCCTGTCCCTTCCTTCCTTTAAATCTCTGAGTAGGGGCGGAGCAAAGGGGGTGTATGTCAAGATGCCTTGGGAGCTGTTTCTAAATACATAGACCTGAACATAGCTCTTCCTTCCTCCACTCTGGCATTCTTATGCATCATGGGAAAAAGTTTCTCCAGCTGATGATTTTCTCCCTGTCTCTCTCTCTCACATCATTGTAAAGAATCCACATTATGAAAATTTAAATATTTTATGGACTATAAAAGTCCCCTCAAGATAACTGGTATTTCCTTGTAAGCACATGTAGCTTTATCCCATTTACTTAAAAAATTGATTTTTAAAACAGTTTTATTGTGGTATAATTGACATTTGACAAATTGCATGTATTTAAAGTGTGCAATTTGATCAGTTTTGACATAAGCATACAGCCATAAAAGCCATCACTGCAGTCAAGAACATATCCATCGCCTCCAAAAGTTATGCCGTTCCCATTTATAACTCCCCTCTCTCTCCCTTCAGCTCCCAGTCTCCGACTCTGGTCATCTCCAGACAATCACTGATCTGCTTTCTGTCAGTATAGGTTACTTTGCATTTCCTAGAATTTTATAAAAATGGAATCACCTAGAATATACTCTCTGTTGTCTGACCTCTTTCACGCTCCATAATTATTCTGAGATTCATCCAAGTCCTGCATAGTATTCCATTGTATAGATATATCACAATTTGTTTATCTGATTGCTTGTTGATGGATTTTTGGATCACTTCCTGGTGTTGGCTATTATAAATGAAGTTGCTATGAACATTTGTGTGCAAATCTTTACATGGATATATGCTTTTATTTTTCTTGGGTAAATACCAAGAGTGGAATGACTGTGTCACATGGTAAGTGTATGTTTACCTAGTTAAGAAACTGCCAAACTGTTTTTTGAAGTAATTGTACCATTTTGCATTCGAAGTGTAAGAGAGTTCCGTTTTTGCATCCTCTCCTCATCCTCACCAGCACTTGATATGTTCAGGCGTTTTAATTTTAGACATTCCAATAAATCATCACATCTCATTGAGCTTTTAGTTTGCATTTTCCTCATGACTAATAGTATTGAGCATTATCTCAAATGCTTATTGCTGTCTGTATATCTCTAAAGTGAGTGTCTAGTCAAATCTTTTGCCCAATTTTAAAAGTTGGGTTGTTTGTTTTCTTATCATGAAGGTCTGAGAGTTGTTTATATATTCTGGACACAGAGAGATGGCAGTGTGAGACTGATTTGGCTCATCATTGTTGGTTTGGAGATGGAGGAAGGGAGACACAAGCTAAAAAATGCGGGTGTCCTCTAAAAGCTAGAAAAAGTAAAGAAGTGGATTCTCCCCTAGATCCTCCAGAAATGACACATCCCTGCTAACATCTTGATTTTTGCCCAGTGGGACTCATTTCAGACATCTGACTTCTAGAGCTGTAAGGTAATAAAATTGTGTGGTTTTTTTTTTTTTTTTTTTTTTTTTTTTGAGACGGAGTCTCGTTCTGTCGCCCAGGCGGGAGTGCTGTGGCGCGATCTCCGCTCACTGCAAGCTCCGCCTTCCGGGTTCACGCCATTCTCCTGCCTCAGCCTCCCGAGTAGCTGGGACTACAGGCGCCCGCCACTGCGCCCGGCTAATTTTTTGTATTTTTAGTAGAGACGGGGTTTCACCGTGGTCTCGATCTCCTGACCTCGTGATCCGCCCGCCTTGGCCTCCCAAAGTGCTGGGATTACAGGCGTGAGCCACCGAGCCCGGCCAATTGTGTGGTTTTAAGCTACGAAGTTTGTGGTAAATTTTTACAGCAGTCATAGAAAACTAATACAGATTTTTCAATTGTTCAAGCACCATTTGTAAAGACTACCATTTTTATACTGAATTCCCTTTGATTTTTTTTATAATTGAAAATCAACAATAGCAATTGATGATATACATATGGGTCTGTTTCTGGACCCCATTCTAGTCCATCAATCTATTTGTCTATCTTTACACCAATACCACATTGTCTGGATTACTATAGCCTCATAAATGTCTTGAAATTGGGTAGTGTAAGTCCTCCAACTCTCTTCTCTTTCGTTGTTTTGGCTTTTCTAGGTTCTGTTCATCAAATCAACTTATAAATTTCTACAAAAGAGCCTATTGGGATTTCATTGAATCTAAGATCAGTTTGGGAAAAATTAATGTCCTAAGGATTTTGAGTCTTTGCAAAATTCCATGACACAGTATTTCTCCCCATTTACTTAGATCTTCTTTAATTTCCTTCAGCAATGTATTTTATCTTTGAGTGTATGAGTCTTACATATTTTAAAAATCAGGCTAAGCCTTCAAATTTTTATTTCCATGCTACTATAGTGATGTTTTAAAATTTCAAGTTCTAAATCTTCATTGTTAGGTTATAGAAATACAATTTAATTTTTATATTGGTCTTATACTCTGAAATCTGGCTAAACTCGTTATTAGATCTACTAGTTTAAGAAATATATATTTCATGGAATTTTCTAAGTAGCAATCATACCATCTTTGAATACAGACAGTTTTACCTCTTCCTCTTCAATCTGGGTGCCTTTAATTTCTTTTTCTTATTGCACTGTACATCCAGTACATTGAATAGGGGTAAGAGTAGACATCTTACCTTCTTCTGATCTTAGGGAAAAAGCTTGCTGTTAACTATAGATTTTTGGTAGATGTCCTTTATTAAGTTAAGAGAGCCCCTTCTATTCCTAGTTTGCTGAGAGTTTTGTTCAGAAATGGATATTGGATTTTTGTCAAATTATTTTCCTGCATCTACTTAGATGATCACATGGTATCGCTTTTTTAAATTTAAATTTTATTTTATTTTTTGAGACATGATCTGACTTTCATGCCACCATGTCCGGCTACTTTTTGTATTTTTTGTAGAGATGGGTTATGCCATGTCGCCCAGGCTGGTTTCAGTCTCCTGGGATCAAGGGATTTGCCCACCTTGGTCTCCCAAAGTGCTAGGATTACGGGCGTAAGCCACCATACTCGGACTTGTATTGCTTTTTAAATATGGTATATTGGTTTCCTAGGGTTGCTGTAACGAAGTAGTGCAAACTGGGTAGCTTAAAATAATAGACATTTATTCTGTCACAGTTCTGAAGAGAAGAAGTCTGAAATCAAGTGTTAGAATGGCCATGCTCCCTCTGAGACTCTGGGGAGAATCTTTCTTTACCTCTTTCTAGCTTCTGGTGGTGGCTGTCAATTCTTGGTATTCTTTGCTGCTGCGTCACTCCAATCTCTGCCTCTGCCATTACATGGCATTTTTCCCTATGTGTCTCTGTCTTCTCTGTCTTCATATGGAATTTTTTTTTCTTCTTATCGGGACACCAGTCATATTGGATTAGGGTCCATCCTAGTGACCACATTCCAAATTTGATTATATCTGCAAACACCTTATTTCCAAATAAGGCCACTTTCACAGCTACCAGGGGTTAGGACTTTAACATACCTTTTTTGAGAATACAATTCAACCCATATCATGTGGTAAGTTACATTGAATAGTTTTCCAAATGTGAAACCAACCTTGTATATGTGGGATAAACCCACTTGGTTATGATGTATTATCCTTTTTATATATTGTAGATTTTATTTGCTAAAATTTTATTAAAAATTTTATTCCTAATAAATATTCCTAAGGAAGTAGTCTACATTTTTTTTCTTATATGGCCTTTGTTTAGTTTTGGCATCAGAGTAATGCTGGCCTCATAGAAGTAGTTGGGAAATATTTCCTCCTTTTCACTTTTCTGGAAGAGTTTTTGTGGAATTGATATTATTTCTTCCTTAAATGTTTCATAAATTTACCAAAAAACCCATGTGAATCTTGAGTTGTTTTGTGTGTGGGTGTGTGTGGGGAAAGCTTTTAAGCTACAAATTTAATTTCTATAGTAGATAAATAGCTATTTAAGTTAGCAATTTCTCCTTGAGTGAACTTTAGTAGTTTGTGTCCATCTTATGAAAGTTGTCAAATTTGTTGGCATAAAGTTGTTCATAATATTCCCTTATTATTATTTTTACATTTATAGAATTTGTAGTGATGTTACCTCTGTCATTCCTGCTAGCAGTAATTTGAGATTTTTCTCTTATTTTCTGATCAGTCTGGGTGGAGGTTTTTTTATTTTATTGATCTTAAAGAACCCACTTTAGTTTCATTGATTTTTTTCTTTTGTTTTCCTGCTATTTTATTGCCTTCTGCTCTGATCTTTTTTATTTCTGTTCTTCCACTTTGATTTCGTTTGCTCTTACAGTAGAATAGGAGCTTATTGATGGGAGATCTTTATTTTCAAAATAGGTATTTAGCACTATAAATGTCTTTCTGCTTCAGCTGCATCCCACAGATTTAGACTGCCTTAGCTGCATCCCACAGATTTTTATGTAATGTGTTTTCATTTTTATTCACTTTGAGATTCTTTCTAATATCCCCCTTTTAATTCTTTTTTTGGTGGGGGTGGCAGGGGACAAAGTCTCACTGTGTCACCCAGGCTAAAGTGCAGTGGCACAATCTTGGCTCACTGCAACCTCTGCTTCCTGGGTTCAAGTGATTCTCATGCCTCAGCCACCAGAGTAGCTGGGATTGCAGGCAAACGCTACCATGTCCGGCTAATTTTTGTATTTTTAGTAGAGATGGGTTTTGCCCTGTTGGTCAGTCTGGTCTTGAACTCCTGGCCTCAGGTGATCCCCTGGCCTCAGCCTCACAAAGTGTTAGAATTATAGGCATGAGCCATGGTGCCCAGCCCATCCTTTGAATTCTTAGTAGCTCATGTGTTATTTAGAAGTGTGTTATTTACTTTCCAAATATTTGGGAGGTTTTTCTAGATTCTTTTTGTTATTGATTTCTAGTTTAATTCTATTGTGGTCAGAGAACATACTCTGATTTTTTTTTAAAAACCAACTTAGGTATAATTTATGTACCTCTTTGCATGATTTTAATCCTTTTAAATTTATTGAGATTTGTTTTATGGCTTAGTGTATGGTTTATCTTGACAAATGCTACCTGTGCATTTGAAAAAATGTGTATCTGCTGTTATGGAGTGGAATATTCTATAAATGTCAGTTAGGTTAGGTTGGTTGATAACATTGTTCAAGTCTTCCATATCTTTACTGATGATCTGTCTCCTTATTCTATTAATTACTGCATTTTACAGATATTAAATTATCTGACTATAATTATAAATTTTTATATTTCTCCTTGCAATCCTATCAGTTTTGCTTCATGTACTTTGAAGCTATCTTATTAGGTGCAAACACTCTTAGGATTGTTACGTCTGCTTGATGAATTGAAATGTTCCTCTTTATCCCTGGTAATATTCTTTGCTTTGAAGTCTTCTTTGATATTAATATAGCCATGAACACTTAACATTTTAATAGAAGTTGCCAAATTTCCTCTCAAAAAAAGTTTGTGTCATTACATAAGGTGTTCCCCCTTTCTTGTCTATATCTTGAGATTTTGATATGACCCTTCCTCTAAACATGTAATGTTTCTTCTGAATTGTGATGAGCTAATGCCTTGCCAGGCCACTGGTTCTTTAGCTGCACAATGGTGGCAATTAATTAATAGCAGCTCTGCCATCACATATGTGTGTGCGGGGGTAGGGGAGCAGACCAGGGGTTAGGCAAAGGATTAAGGGGAAGGAAGATTTTGAAAAGACAAATGAGAAGTATTTTCATTGTCAGAAAAGGCATAGGCAAAGGGGCATCTTAAGCCAGTTCAAGATACTAGGGCCAGATGAATTAGATCTCAGGGCAGTGAACTTGTGATGTCAGAGTCACTACAGAGGTCTGATAGATGTACTCAAGGTTGGAGACAGGTCTGATAGGTGTATCCAAGGTTGGAAACAGGTACTTTTTTTTAATGGGTGAAAAAAAATTAGACTGTTTGTGTCAGTGAAGAACGTGATGCGTACAGGGAGCCAGAAAGTGTTCACTAAAAACTAATTTAATTCATTTTATTTGCTACAAGTTTACACAGTTGGTGGATCTGCATAGGCCCCAGTTGCCTTGGCCCCCAGAGAGAGGTGGAACCAAACAGGTTACTAGAGACAAACAGATCCAGGAGATTCTGTCTGATGGGTTGCAGTCATTAACTTCAGACCAGTACCTGGTTTTCCTATTAGGCGTGTTTTAACACATTAGGTCAGGCCACCACTTCTCCATCTGTCTGGATGAGGCAACAGCGAACAGCGCTCAGCAGACCTTATTAAGTACTCAGGTCTTAAAGACCCTCTGTTTGGTGGGCTCTGTAGTCACTAGAACCATAAACACACTACTGGCTAATTATTGTTTAATTATTGCTTAAAAACTGATGGGCACAATACAATCACCGCATTAATTACCCCATACAGCATCTGTTTTCTTTTTTGCAGCCATCCCCATTCCTCCCCAGCCCCTCTCCCCACTTTAATTGAAATTCAGCTTGCTGTAACACCTCCTTCCTCCTGGCCAACTGGATCTCTCCATTCACATGAGGGAGAACAAAACCGAGAAGGCCCCAGGGATTAGAGAGTTTTGACAGCTGTCCAAGAGGAGCGCGGAGATACGGGCCAAGTACGGAGGCAGGACAGAGACAAACGAGGGACAAGAGAGTGACGGAGGGAGGGAGAGATAGGCAGGGAGACATCACAGGAGCATTAAACTGGACAAAGAGTCACAGAGACAGGCGGAGATGTTTAAAGGGGCGCTGAAAAGGGGAAAAGGACGAGAAAAGATAAAAAGGAGAGAAACTGTGGCGAGCTGGTGAGGAAAATGTGAGAGGCTCAGGAGGGCAGGGAGACAGAAGAGAGCTCGTCAGGAAGGAGGGGAAGAAAGGCCGGCCTCTAGGGACAGGTCAGTCCAGCTTGGAGACCGATCTGAAGATCCAGAGAAGGCGGGCGGGCAGCCTGGTGGTCCCCTCACACACCTGGGAGTGGAGTGGACGGAGGAGGTGGCCGCGGGGCCGGGAGGAGCACCGGCGGCGCGAGCGGAGAAGCTGAGCGCGCAGCGCCCGGGCCGCAGAGCCCCCTGGACAAGCCTGGCGTGTGCCCTGCAGCCCCGGGCTCGCCCGGCGGCCCCGCCCCCTCCCTGGCCCGGGCTTTTCCTGCGGAGCTCAGGAAGCCGGCCTAGCACAGCCTCGAACAATAGCTCGGGACTCGGGCTCCGCTCCCCGGGAGGCCGGCGCGGGGCCGCTGGGACTGGGGGCGTAGGCGCCGCCGGGGGCCCGCAGCGAGCCCTCGGCCCCGGCCGGAGCTTCAATTCAGCTCGGCGCTCCCGGGGTCATTGTTGGCCGGGACTGAGGGAGCGGGAGCCGGGGGAGGAGCTGGGGAGGCGGCTGCTGCGGCGGCGGCGGCGGCGGGAGCCAGAGGGGGAGCTAGAGAGCGAGCGAGCGAAGGAGGGAGGTAGCGAGTGAGCGAGTGAGCGAGGGAGGGAGGAGGTAGGGAGACAGGGAGGGTGGGAGGGAGGAGGAAAAATAAAGAGGAGAGAGCGGAGCAGGGCTGAACAATAGAGACAGGCAGACGGGCGAGCAGGAGAGCCAGCTGCCGCTGCTGGGGGACAGCGGGCGCCCAGGCAGCCCGCACCCCGGCCCCGGGCCCCGGCCCCAGCCAGACAGCAGGCGGCCAGCGCCCTGGGGAAGGGGTACCATGGGGGAGCTGGCGGCAGGCACCCCCAGCCCGCCGCGCGCCTCCGCCTGAGGGAGGCTCAGCGTCCTCTGCCCCAGCCCCGCCGCCCAACGCCCGCCCTCGAAGCTCCGCGGCCGCCAGCTCTGCGGCCGCAGCAGCTGCGCCCCGCGCCCTCCGCCCACCGGGCGCCGAGCAGCCCTCGGCCCCAGGCTTCTTCGGCTCCCGGCTGCCCGCGGACGCCCTCCCACAGTCATGAACCCCCCTGAGGGAGCAGCGGAGGAAGGAGGAGCAGCAGACTCGGACGTGGACGCCTTTTTCCGGACAGGTAAGCCGGGCAGGGCGCGGGGGGCCAGGGCTGAAGGCTACTGCCTCGGACGCGGCGTCTCGGACAAGTTTGGGGAAGGAGGGCTGTTGCTGCCGCGTGCGTGTTGGGGGGCAGTGCCCCCTCGGCGTCGGGGCTGGAGTTGCCGAGATTCTGGTTGTTATGGCAGTGCTGGCTGCGTCTGGGGAGGGCGTGGGGGCTGGGAACTCCGCGCCCCTCCGCCTTCACCCCAGTTGCGGGAGTCTGTGTTGGGGAGGTGGGAGGCGGTCCCCTCGGACCGCCTTCTCCCAGAGCGCGGGGATGGGCGGTGTTGGCTCACTTTGCAGCGCGCCGCTCCGGCTACCGGCGTCCCGGCCCCTCCCTTGGCTCCCCCTCCCCTGTGCCTGTCAGCGGGGCTCCCGGCGGCCGCCCTGGGTCGGCACCCCTCCTCGCCGTCGGGGGCCCGGGGCCCTGATGTGCACAGAGGGGCGGCGGGGACCCGGAGCCGCGCCGGCTGCAGACTGACAGGAGTGGGGCGGAAGACATCGGTCTCGCCTGGTGCGTGTGGGGAGCTGGTCCCTCTGACTTGAGAGGCAGACCCAGCTGGGAGGGCGGTGGGCGCCTCGGACCTCCCCCTTGTCCTCCTCTTCAGTTCTGGGAACGGAGGAGCTATTCATAAGAATTACTCATTCCTGGAAGTGTGAGTTAGCGTCCCTCTCATACACACCCACTAAGTCTCTGCTTGCTGTGAGGTGTAGAGCCCTGAGATGTCTTTCTAGCTCTTTGCGCCCCTGCCATCGTCCAAGTCCCGGGTCCATTGCTCCTCCTGCTCCCTGGCTACACAGTCCCTCCCTAGAACCGGCACTGACCACCCTTATCTTCCACCACCTGTGGCCCTGTTTCTCTGATGGCCAGGGATTCCCCGTCTCCCTGTACCTGTGGCTTCCACCAGCTTCTGTGTGTAGCTCCCCATCTCCCCACATGTCTGAAACAGTTTTGTCTGGAATCTTTGTCCCAAGGAGTCCAGTAAGTTACCGGGGCCCCATGCATCTGCTCTCCCTTCTGGAAAGTTGGATTAGAGGACATGAACTGGTGGGGGTCAGGGGTCAGGTTAGCTCTGGAGGGTCTCTGCACATCCATCTGTTTCCTAACCCTGTTACCTTGCCCTGGAGGTCATCTCTAGGGAAGGGGGTGGGGTGCTTTGCGGGGGAGACTTGTGGCTTTGGAAGTCAAGACTTGATTGGCTCATATGTTCATTCTCTAGTTGATGTGCAGAGGAAAAAACTGGAGGACAGGAGCTGGTGCCAGGGTCTGGGGAAATCAGAGGGAGCCCTGTCATTCTATTCTGCTTCCCAGGTCTAAGCCTTCTTTCCTTTTCTTTCTTCCTCCTTCCTTCCCTCCTTCCTCTTCCGAGACATGGATTCTATTTTCTTTCTTCTCTCTCTCTCTCTCATACACACACAGCCCAGCACCCAAAAGCATGGATTCTAAAGAGGTGGAATCTAGGGAAAAGGTGGTTCTGGGGGCTAAGTGATATTCAGAAATACTCATTATGAGGCAGAGGAGGGGAGATATGGGAATTCATAACTGGGACTAGAAACAAATTGACCAGTCAATCAAAAACCCAGCTGACCCCCCTTGCCTCCCAACTGGGGCAAAAGTCTGCATTTTCTTAGCTCTGAGGGAAAAATCTTGAAGTGTGAGCCTTCCCACCTTCCCTTTCTGGACTCCACTTTTACCTTTTGGTGCCCACTCCTCTTTCCCCTTTCCTATCATCCAAACACTAGGTCCTGTTCATTTTCTGTTCCAGGCACCCGTAGCAGAGCTCAGTTCCTGGAGGCTTGCTTATTTCTGATAATAAATTCACACAGTGTTAATGGCCAATAATAGTCCAATGTGTTACTTTTCCCAGGGCCTTTCAAAACACAAGGTGTGGCACACATTATCTAACCCTGGCTCAAATCACAGAATAAATAGCAGACTGGGGTCAGTCTCCTGTGGGATTCCTATGTTGGGGATATTCTCCCTCCTCCTTGGGCAGCCCAGTGGCTGAGCTAAGTCTGATGTGCACTTAGTATCAGAGAAAGGTTAAGTCATTGGTGCATGAGGCTGGAAATGACTGATGACCTGTAACATGTTGCAAGAGGGGGTAGGTCAAGGACTACATCCACCCTGTGTGGCCCTCTATGCTTGGCTCACTGACTGTCACCACACTTCTGGTCTCTAGCCTAGGCTCTTGCTGGGGATTCTTCTTCTTCTTTTTATTTTTATTTTTTGTTGTTAATTTTTATTTTAGGTTCAGGGGTACATGTATGGGTTATATAGATAAACTGTGTGTCACAGGGGTTTCGTATACAGATTATTTCATCACCTTGGTAATAAGCATAGTACCTGATAGGTATTTTTTCTGATTTTCTCTGTCCTCCCACCTTCCACCCTCAAGTAGGCTCCGGTGTTTGTTATTCCTCTCTTTGTGTCCATGTGTTTTCATTGTTTAACTCTCACTTATAAGTGAGAACATGAAGTATTTGGTTTTTTGTTCCTGCGTTAGTTTGCTTAAGATAACAGCCTCCACCTCCATCCATGTTGCTGCAAAGGGCATGATCTTATTCTTTTTTATGGCTGCATAGTATTCCATGATGTACATGTACCACATTTTCTTTATCTAGTCTGCCATTGATGGGCATTTAGGTTGATTCCATGTCTTTGCTATTGTGAACAGTGCTGCAATGAACATATGCATATGCGTTGGTGGAGATTCTTAAGCTTAGAAAAGCCATGTTTCTAAACCTTCTCCCTTCTGATTTCCCATCTCTGTGGAATATAGCACTATACCTGATAGGCTGGATAGATTATAAATGTATTCTATTGAACAACTGAGAAAGCTTCAAACAAATTTTCAAAGTCCCTAGCACCAGGGTTACCCCTTTCTTTCTGATGGAAAATTTTGTATGCACAAGGACCAAACTGGAAATTGCTTTGTCAAAATTCTGGCATACTGTGCTTCTAATTAGGCATGTTTCAAATTATTCTGTCATTTTGGTTCCTTGTTTGTCCTCTTCTGATCATTTTGGTGTTTCAATCCCTTGACCAATTGGTTAAGCTAGATTCCCTAAATCTCACTTCCCTGTGTGCACATGGACACAGACATCCCACCCTACCCAGCCTACTATTCTAGATTGGTAGACTCCAGATTGTCTTCTTGGGAATTCTCTGTTCCAAGCCTGAGAAAGTGTGTTACAGTAATTTTATTGATCATAGTTATGAGGCAGAGGAGGGGAGTTATGGGAACTGATAACTGGGACCAGAAACCAATTGACCAGCAATCAAAAACAACTTTTCAATTATCCCTAGAGGCTTCTGCTGTCCACGGTGCTGTGGAACACAAAAGAAATATTCGAAGTGGTCTCTGTCCTCAAAGAACTTCTGAAGAAGATTGACATTTACTGTTCAATTAGAGATTTATTGCTAAGCGTTGTGGTGCTATAAGTTAAAAAGTTGGCAGAACTACAGAGGAGGTGGAACTTCGGGTGGTCCTTGAAGGATGAATGAAGAATGGGCAGTGGCACATGGGAGTTTGGGCATTGAAGAGCCTGGGCTGACATAGAGGAAGATGTAGGTTAGTGAGGAATGGGAAACAGGATTGGAGAAGTGGGGCAGGGTCAAATAGGGAGAGTCTTGAAAGCACAAGAGTGGAGATTGGATTTGATTCTGGGGCAGTAGGGAGTCATTATGGATTCTTGAACAATGACACATCATGAAAAATGTGGTGTTTGGAAAGGTTAATCTGGGATAATATGATTTAATAAGTGGAGAAGAGAAGGGTAGAATCTAGGGAGATGCAAAAGTGATCTGGAGGTGAGGGGGAGGAGCTTTGGTCTGGGTTGGTGGCAGAAAGGATGGGGAGTCAGGGATGCCATTGAGACACATTTTTAGAGGTATAAGTGTGGGGACTTGTTGATAATCTAGTGATGGGGGAGAGGAAAATGAAGCCCATGAGGAAAATGAAGTAGCTGGGTTGAGGAGCCTAGAGGACTGACAGTGTCTGACTGATGGACAGGTGTGGGCTGGTTGAAGACAGGACCTGGTTTTGCAGGGCAGATAATGTTGTTAGCTTTGGACATGAAGCATGGGGGGGGCGACTCAGGGAAATCCAGATGGAGTTGTTTTGTCAGCAGTTGGAAATGTGGGACTCAAGACAGGAGCATGGGCTGGAGGCTAGGGCTGTTGATGTTGATTTGGAAGGTTGGATGCAGCCGAAGCTTTGTGAATGCATCTGCTGTCAGAGGGAAGGAGTAGAGGAAGAAAGGGAAGGGTGAAAGTTAGATTTTGGGGTAGAAATTCTTATTGCAGAAGTGGCAGCAGAGGAGACTTGATCCTAGAGACCCCAGGGAGTCAGTGTGGGCTCTGATGTGATGACAGGCTGCAGACAGGTTGAGCAGGAGGAGTGCTGGGGCATGATGAAAGAAAGACCCTGTGCACTCCAGGAGCACAGGATTAGAAGAGGTGTTCAGAGGAGGGATTTGGGGTGGTGAGTGGGAATCAGCTACTTGCAGAGTTTATCAGTGAAAGGAAAAAGAGGTGTGTGCTTAGCCAGAAGGGACGTTAGTATCCAGAAAAGGAATTTTTGTTTTTTGTTAGAGTCACAGCAGGTTTGGAGGTGGCAGGGAGAGAATGTGTGGAGAGGAAAAATTGAGGAGGCTAGAACGAGTGTAGAGTTTGATACCTGAAGAAATGAGATAAGAATAGGTTCCCTAACAAAAGTAAGAGTTTAGCTTTGGTAAGCAGCAGAGAAACCTTTTTCTTTAAGGTGCAAAGGAAAAAAAGTAAGAAGATAAATGAAAAGAGTGATGTGGAGATATTTTCTACCTCTGTCCTTCTGTTGAGCATTGGTTCTGTGAATCTAGACATTTTCAACTGAAGTGTTTGCAGTTACTTGGGCTTCAGCCAATCTCAGACTCAACTCTGTATATCTTTCCAACTCCCCAAACTAGCTCTTCCTCTTGACTTTCTTAATTCTATAAGTGACACCTTCACTCTCCCAGTCATGATATTTAAAACCTTGGCATTGTCTGTGAGGACTCTCTTTCCTCCAACAAACCCTGTTGAATTATCTTTCATAGTTAGCTCTTGCTGCTCATTCACAGGGCATGGCCCCAGGCCAGGCCCCATATGCCCCCATGGACTCCTTTCCTGGCCCTCATTCTCATCCCTTGGAAGCTGTTCACTTAGCCCCACTCCAAATTGGACCTGCAGACACATTAAACTTCCTAAAGCACTACTTTCATCACACCACTGCTTGGTGCTTGAACCTTCAGTAACCCCCTAGTGCCTTCAGGGTCAAGTGTCGGCCTCACAGCTCAACTCCAGCCAGGCTGCTCTCCACACACTGCCCAAGGGCTCCTGCATTCACAGTCTCCTTGGATCAACCACCCCGGCACCCTCCAAATCCAACACAGTCTTTAAGACTTGATCCCTGCCTTCTTCTGGGAGCTTTCACAGCTCACGATGACAGCCCTTTGAATTACTCACTGTCTGTACTCATTTTCTCACTTCATTAGTATTGTATTGTTATTTAGCCTTTCCATACATGAAGGCTTGTCTCCCCCATTGAAGTTATTTGTTCTTTGGAGGTAAGAAAAAGGATCTTTTTAAAAGCTTGTGATTAATCAAAAAACACCCCCTCACAATATAAATCAAACATGGCAAAATATAAGCAGCTATTGAATCTAAGTGATGGTTTGTTTATATTCACTGTATGATTTCTTAAACTTTTTTCTTAAATAATAACCCCATCACATCTAGGCAGGGAACCTTAAACTATTGTCATGTCCAGATCATATAGAAGGGAGATTTGGGAATAACAATCTATGTTGGTATGCAATTCCTTGAGTAAATGTCACCGCCCAGTCTGTACATTGCCAGGTACCTAAAAAGGGAGGAGTCTCTTACTTCCTGAGCTTTCTTTTGCAGCAAAGGAAAACATCTCTTTTTTTTTTTAAGTTATGCTTGATGCTCCAGAGTGTAAACACGATGCTTAATTTAATGCTTGTTGTCCCTTCTTGATCTCCTCCACTTTCACCCATTATGAACTGGGCTTTTGGTCACATCATTTTTCAGGAGCCTTTGGGGGAGTATTGGGAAGACTTTGTGGTTCTGGAGAGGGAATGTTGTTAATATTTCTAATGCTATATTTTTATAGGCTATTTCTACTATTAATATATTTTAGTACATATCAGTGACATCCAGGTCCACCTCTGTAAGATTTGGTAAGCTTTGCTTCATCCTTGTGCCACAAATCACCAATAACTTTATTACTGGTACATACTGTCCAGTCGTATTTGATAATCCCTTGAGGGATGAAAGGAGGTTTTAGAATAAACTGAAGCTACAGAAAGAAATTAGCTGAGAAGTAAGAAAATCTTCCTGACTATAAATAAAATCAATAAAACACTATAAGGGGTGAACTAGAGGTTCTTCTTAGATGTTGGAAATGAACACTTTTTACTTTTCAAAGTTTTCTCTGGTTCTGGTATTTGATAGTTTACTGCTGGAGGTGGTCAGTATGGTATAGCCCAGTGGTTCTCAACAAGGGCAATTCTCCCCTCCCACCCCCCATCATAGAACATTTAGCAATGCCTGGAGACATTTTTTTGGTGTCATAACTTAGGGAGGGTTTGCTACTGGCATCTAGTGGGTAGAGGTCAAGGGTGCTGCTAAGCATCTTACAATGCACAGGACAACAAATAATTATCCAGCTCCAAAATGTCAGTAATGCTGAGATGGAGAAACGCTGGTATAGCCAGAGGATGACAGGCTTTGGATGGAATAGGTTCAGCACTAACTAGGGATAGGATCTTGCATTAATTATTTAATATCTCTCATCCTCATCTTCTGCAAAATGGGACTGATAAAGCTTGTTTCACAGGTTGAGAGTATTAAGTAGGAAAAAACATGTATGGAGCATCTAGTGGTCTCTGACACACTAGAAGCACAAGAAATCCTAGTTATCCCTGTTGTTCCTGCTGTTTTAATTATTAATTGAATGTGATGGACAGAGGCTGAAGGTCTCTTGAAGGCATGCTAGGCAGGACTTTTGACATGGGATGCAAGAGGGTGCCAGAGAGGCAACATGATGCAGTGCAGGGATCCTGTGTGTGGCATCAGAAGGCTAGGTTTTGGGCCTTGGCTCTCTTTCATTCATTCATTTAATCATTTGTTTGAAAAATATTTATCAAGTGTTTACTATAGTCATGTACCACGCATGCTATGGGAGTATATAAAGCCATTAAAAAAAGAATGTAGAACAGGAATGGAAATGGAAATAAATATACCCCCTCTGGGAGCACTTGGATATAAGGGGTTAAAAGGGGAGGGAAAAGTCTATGAAGGAGGCTGAGAAGGTCAGACAATAGAGCAGGAGGTAAACACTCCATTTTGCTCTCTACTTACATGAATAACTTGGACAAATGACTTTAACATCTGTGTAAGATGAGGATAATAGCCCCCCGCCCCAACCCTTCCCTTATAGAGCTGCTGAGAGACTCAAATAAGATACTGTATCTGAAAAGTTGTACAATACTATCCGAATATATGTAGATCTTTCCAAATTGAACATTCTATTACTCTAAGTGCCTCTTCTGACAAGTATTATCTGATTTAATCTGATTTCCATGGGACCTTTCCAGTCCAGGAAGAGATGCAGTTCTTCTCATTTTGGTTTCCCAAGGGGACTGGATGGGGCACCCTTTTACAGCAGGTCAGGGGACCCCTTTTTTCTCCTCCTCTGCATAAGTAGAAGAATGGCAGTCCCTGTCTGGGTCATGGGGCACGTGGCTCGATCCATGTGGAGAAGGTCCTTGCTTCTTACTTCTGCTGAATCTCAGGTGTGCACAGAGAATCAGGTCCTTCCTGCCTTTTCTCTGGATGCAGAGGAAAGTTCAGAGTCCTCCTGCCACTCCTTTGTGTATGAATGACTGGCAGCGAAAATAACTAGGAAATGACTGACAGCCACAGAGCTGTCGGATCAATAGAGCTGCTTGAAATTGTGTCTGCCTAGGAGCGAGGGAACAGAAAGAATCAAATGGGTGGACAGAGGAATTAATTCAGGGAGGTAAAGAAGAAACTGTAGGAGAATTAGCTTTGTCTCCTCCCCATCTGCCCTATGACATTATTAGAAGGGAGCTGGACACTAGCTAGGGAACATGGAAGCAACAGATAAACAAATTTAAGAGTGAAAAGTGGCAGACGCTTTGTACACTTAAGGGAGTGGCTACTTCTCCTTGATCTGGGACATAGGATGGGTATGGTTTGGACAGGGAAGACAGAAAGTGTTGTGATCCCAGGTTAAAACAGCATTGAAAGGAGGTGTGAATATTCATAGCATATTTAGGGGCAGTAAATGGTCCAGTTTATGTGACTCAGTGGCTGGTGGAGGATCAATGGGAGATGAGACTCAGGAGGTGGCAACCAGGTTGATTAGTTGATTCCTTTATCAAATATTTACTAGGCTCCTACATCATGAAGGCATTGAATGGAAGGCCAATGAATTTGGTCTTTCAGCAGTTGGCTTTGGGAAGCCACTAAAAATGACATGATCAGAAAGATAAATCTGGCAGCCCTGTGGAGGGTCCATTGGAGTAGGGGAGGGACTGTTGGTTGGGGATGGGTTAGAAGATCACTGTGATAGGCTAGGAGAGTCTGAACTTGAGAAGCAGCAGCAGAAATGGAGAGGAGGGGATGGATATGAGTTACTTTGGGAGGTGGAGTCTATAGGGCCTGGCATCTTGGATGTTGATGTGTCAAGAAAGAGATAGGAACCCAAGATTACTCCAAAGTTTAGAGTTTGAGTGACTGAGAGAACAGACATACCCTTAATGAAAGTCAGGAACTGCTAAGAGGAGGAGCAGCTGTGGGGAGGCAGGGGAAGAGGGGGGATTTGGAGAATTTGCTTTGGGACATGTTGCATTTCAGGTGTCAGTGAAATAGCTAAGGGACGTGTGGATTCAGTAGGTGGATAATGAAGGGAGTCTGGAGCTTTGGAAGGAGGCCAGATCTGGAAATATAGATTTGGGAGCTATCTGAAAGAAGTTGTGGCTGGAGCTATCAAAATAGATGATATAATAAATGAAAAGCATACACAGAATTAAGGGCAGAGTGCCAAAGACAGAATTGTATATACAGGGGTATCTACAGTTGGGCTGTAGGAGAACAGATGCAGAAGGGCTGGAGGAGAACCAGGAGAGAGCAATACTTGGGAAACACAGGTGATCAACAGGGTTTAATGCTGCAGAGAAGTTGAGGGAGATGGGAACTGAGCAAATACCATTGGTTCTGGAGACTAGGAATCATTGGTAATCTTTGAAATAACAGTTTCAATTGTGTATGGGAGGTGGAATTCAAATTCCAAGGGGAATGAGGAGTGAGCGCATGGGGAGGAAGTGGTGGGAGTGCATATAGATGGCTCTTTGGAAAGGTTTGACTGTGAAGGGAAGATTAAAAATAGCAAGGTAGTTGGAGATGGGGAGCAGAGTTGAGGGGAGGTTTTTTTTAGGAGGGAAGATATGTGAATACCTAGGGATAGGGTAGAGGGAGAAGGCAGGCATGAGGAAGAGACTTAATATTTAGAAAAGACAGAAGTAATAGATTGAGGAAGGTCCTGGATGAGCCTGGAGGGGTGGATCTCAAGTTCAGCTTTGGGCCAGAGGAGGATGCTTCTTTCTTGGACTCTGGAGGGAAGGCAGACCTCAGTGAAGTAGCTGGCTGGGAAGGACCAATGGGCACAATGTTCCAGATTGACAGCTCCAGGAGAGAGAGCATCATCTGGCTGGAAGACTCAGAGACTAGTGGTGCCATGCTTGGGGAGGGTAGTACAAGCTGAGGCAGCTGTGAAATGGGTGGGCTGAGCTGTTGTGGCCCTAGAAGGCTCTTGGGCAGAGAAGCTAAGAAGCGAGGCTGGGAGATCTAAAGTTAGCAATCCGTTTAAAAGTGCTGGTGGCTTTCTTTTGCAAGCCGAGGTGGGACTGCTCTAGGCTGTAGTGGGGTCTGCAGAATTGCCTCCTACAGAGTATGAGTCAGAAAGGCAAGCGGGGAAAGAAGTAAGTGAGGAGAGGAGAGAGGGAGGGAAACTCAGGCAAGATGGTATCTGGGCAGCCTTCTGAGGAGGGGTCAATGTCTGGCCATCAGGGTACTGTATCAGTGATGGGATTTGCTCATGAATTTCCAGTTTCCGTAGTGTCTCTAGAAGTCCTAGAAGAAAGGGGAAGCAGGCTAGGGCTCATGAATGAGCCCCTTGCTCATTCTTCTCCATGAAGTTGAATCCTTCACACAAAAGAGAAGATGCCATACTCTCTTTCTTGGACCCAAACACTCCTTCCACCCCTTGTTTCAGGGGCTGACCCAAGATGAAAAGCCCCATTTCATCAAAGGCTCCTCAGTGGTCTCACACGACCCTCCAGAGGGCTGGGGAGTAGGAATCTGGCTGTTGCTGCCACCAAAGGGTGGATTGTGGGGCACCAGGCTTATCTACCCTAGAACACAAGAAGGTGGGAGTTTCCTAAAGTGTAGACCAGTTCCAGAATCATAGAATCTTAGAACAGGAACTTACCAGCTTTGTGACTTTGTGCAAGTTATAACCACTCCAAGCTTTAGTTTATAAATCTGTAAAATGGGTAAAAAATCCTTGCCTTTCAGTGGGCACCTGTAATCCCAGCTACTCAAGAGGCTGAGGCAGAAGAATCACTTGAACCCAGGAGGTGGATGTTGCAGTGAGCCAAGGTCGCACCACCACATTCCAGGCTGGGCAACAGAGTGAGACTCTGTCTCCAAAAAAAAAAAAAAAAAAAATTGCTCATGTTAATAGATATATTCTGATAGTTATATTCATATTGTGAATAGTAATGTAAATAGGATATTACTAGTAATGTGGTATTATATATTACTAGTATGACATATTACATGTACGACATATTATGATTATGTTACCAGTTAGATGAATCCCTTTATTTTCAAAATCATGAACACTGATTCCTTCCTTCCTTCCTTCCCTCCCTCCCTCCCTCCCTCCCTCCCTCCTTCCTTCCTTCCTTCCTTCCTTCCTTCCTTCCTTCCTTCCTTCCTTCCTTCTCTTCCTTCTCTTCCTTCTCTTCATTCATTTGGTAACAGTGTGGAGATAGGGTTATGATTTTTAAACTTGCAGTTACAATTATTCCAAGGCATGACAGGCGGGGATTAGGGATGAGGCTAAAATCTCCATCTTTTATACTCTTACCCAGCCCAGGGACAATGGGCATCTATGGGGTGGGGGCACAATATTGAGTTGGCAGCTGGACAGTGGGCCTAGAAGGGGACCCGGGAGACTGGCAGATGGTTAATTGGATGTGACAAAAAAGGGCTAGGAGGAGGGGTCTGGGCTCCTGGGGGATTCTTGTGTCTGACTACTTACTATCCTGAAATGAGGTAGTGGGGAAAGAGAGGAGTGGCTCTAGGAACAATTGGGGAAAAGATTGGTAGGACTCCGTGTCAGGGTGTGGCAGTGGAAGGACAAAACACCATAGGGAGTAATGTCACAGCTTTAAGTCAGAGCTTTAATGTCACAGCTTTAAGTGCAAGATTTTAAGCCTCTTCTGTGTACACCAGTGCTTTGGCACATAACATGCTCAGATACTTGGAAGTAAAGAGACACTTAACCAAAGATTGTAACAGTACAGTTTTCTAGTCATTCTTCATGATCCCAACCACTGAGTTTTGACAGCTAAGTATCATTCCTTTTGATGGGAATTGGAGAAAGAACTAATCAATTTTAGCATAGTACTGATTTCAGTGAGCAGATCTCTTCATTTATTCTTACACTCATTTATCGAAGTGTCAGACACCAGCTGTACACCTACTAAGTGCCAGGCACTGGGGGTACACAGACAAGTTATAAATAATCTTTCCCGAAAGGAGGTTAACAGCCTAATGGGGGGGGGGGGGTTGCCTGATACATAAACAGGTGATTGCAGTGTAGTATAAGTTCAGTAAAGAGGAATGCACACTAATGTATAGAGGAAGGATTAACAACCTCACCCGGATGGGCGTGGGGAAGATTCATTGAAGAGAGAGTGCTTGGGCTGAAATGGATGAAAAGGTAGTGCAAACAAGAATAATGAGCATAGACCACTATTCAAGAAGCTTGGTAATAAAAGTAAGGAGAAAAATAAGATGGTAATCAAAAGGACATTTTGGGGGTACTGATATTGCTCTGCTTCTAGACCATAGGTGTATGTTTCTTTTGTGAAATCTTAATGAGCTGTAAACTTATATGTGCAGTTTTATGCATGTATATTATTCTTAATTCAAAAATTTTAAAAGGTTATCAGGTCCAGTGATTTTTTCTTTCAGATCAAGGAAAAACTTTGAATGTTTGAAAAAGTCATAGGAAGAGACAATGGTAGAGACTCAAAGTATTAGAAGGTGGTATATGTGTTAGTGGGGTACCAGGGTGGGTACCAGCTTCCCCAAAGTTAGGAAAGAATGAGATTTCTGGGCAAAGAGGTTATCTCTGGAATGGATGGTCACCTTTTCTTCTATGGCTATGAGGAAAGACCAGGTGTTTTTCAGGTCAGATGCTGGAGCTCTTATTAAGCTAACCTCAGTCATCTTAGTGAATGGGAGCCAAGGTCATCTGCAAGCACTGGGAGATGCTGTGAGCCTGGGAAGAGAGGAGATGGATTGGATCCATTCTCTGGAGAGTGAGTGGGAATTGCATAAAAGAATGATCTGTTCAGTTGATTTCAGAATGGGCTGGGTATGTCTGGTTCTGACTCTTGCTCAGCCCTGGAGACTCTGGAGCGGGGATAAAAACAGTGTTTTTGGCTGGTGATTTGGACGAGATGTCTAGGGTGAGGATGAGGTGTGCACTTCACTTGTTTGGATACTATTCTCTTCCCCAAACTTTATGGAACATCAATGGCTTTAAGGCCTTTTGGAGGCCCTACTTTGGAAAATGTTTATGTCTGGTTTCTCCAAGTAGGTTGTATACACACTTTGCTTTGGATTTGTCTGTATTCTTGTCAATGCCCAGGTTAGTGCCTTGCAAATAATACTTGCTCCATTAGTATTTGTTGACCCATTTTTTTTTTCAAAAAAGCTACTTATTGGTGTCTAGGCTACTTGGGAGTCTTATAATGAAACACTGTGCTAAGGAAATGTATCTTTTTTTTTTTTTTTTTTCTGTCGACAGGCAATTCTGCTTTAAACAAAAGACCTATGAAGTCAACGTTGTGAAATACAGCTGTTGTGTGGATTAATTAGAGGGGACTCCTTTTATCACTTGCTTATAAATATTCACATAATTCACAGGCGCTGGAAAAATAAATATTCACTCTTCTTTTAGAAAGATCCAAGTAGGAAAGTTCAAACATGCAAATGGATCAACTAATTAATATTGAGTGAATGTCTGCCATGTGCCTAGTATTATGCCAGATACTAAGAGGGCTAATGAAAATGGCTATCACATGATCTTTGTCCCTGAAAAGTTTATAGTCTTGTTGAATTAGGAAAATAATGGCTAATTAGAGAACAATCAGAAAGGGAGTTTTAGTCATTCATTGACTCATTTAATATGTATTTATTGTCTATAAGCTAAGTGATAATTTAAATAAGTGGTAAAATAAGGTTTTATTTAGAGAGACTCAATTTTAGGTATACCTTCATAGAACACTTTTTTTTTTTTTTTTTTTGAGATGGAGTCTCGCTCTGTTGCCCAGGCTGGAGTGCAGTGGCGCGATCTCTGTTCACTGCAAGCTCTGCCCCCTGGGTTCATGCCATTCTCCTGCCCCAGCCTCCCAAGTAGCTGCAACTACAGGCGCCCGCCACCACGCCTGGCTAATTTTTTTTTATTTTTTTTTATTTTTAGTAGAGACAGGGTTTCACAGTGTTCGCCAGGATGGTCTCGATTTCCTGACCTCATGATCCGCCTGCCTTGGCCTCCCGAAGTGCTGGGATTACAGGCATGAGCCACGGCGCCCGGCCAGAACACTTTTTATATTGAAGTTTTTAAAAATATAAAGCATTATTTTAATGCTGGCTAACTGTAGACCATTTGAAAAATGTGATGAAATATAAAGGATAGAAAAGCCACTGTAATTCTATCACCCAGAGAGAACCCGTTTGCTGATATGAGGTATTTCCTTCTCGTCCTTTTTCCTATGTGGATTCACTCCCTTGATCCATGGTTTGTTTTTCGATTATTGAATTAAGATGAAAAACAAATGAAGGGGGTAGACTTTTTCCAAAATGAGGTCATTTTTTCCAACTAACTTTAAGGTATGATACATTCCTATACATATGTCTATTGAACAAAGTAAGACATTTATAAGCCAATTGACCTTTATATGGGGCAATATAGGAAGACAGAGGATCCATTCATTGTTTGGAGGGGTAAAGGTATTGACACTGTTGTAAAAATATTTACACAAAACAAAAGTATAAGATATATGGTCAAAGTGAATACTCTTTCTCTCTCTTACTCCCTTATGTTTAGATAAATTCAACATATACATGCATGCACCTGTTGCATATACATCTTTATACAAATGGATAGCTTTTTTTCATTTAACAAAAAGAGGATCATGTTATACCTGTTATTCTGCAACTTGTTTTTATCATTTTATAATCATGGACATTTTTCTATGTCAGTACCTATAGCTTTACCTCTTTTTTTTTTTTTGAGACAGAGTCTTGCTCTGTCACCCAGGCTGGAGTGCAGTGGTGCGATCTCGGCTCACTGCAAGCTCCGCCTCCCGGGTTCACACCATTCTCCTGCCTCAGCCTCCCGAGTAGCTGGGACTACAGGCGCCCGCCACCTCGCCCAGCTAATTTTTTTTGTATTTTTAGTAGAGACGGGGTTTCACCGTGTTAGCCAGATGGTCTCGATCTCCTGATCTCGTGATCCGCCTGCCTTGGCCTCCCAATCCTGCTGGGATTACAGGCGTGAGCCACCGCACCCGGCCACCTCATTTGTTTTAACAGTTGTGTTACATTCTGTTGTGAGGATGTGTTACTTTATTAAACCATTCTCCTAATGATAGACATTTATAACCCAGATTTTCTGTGGACGGGTGTTTGTTCTGGGACATTATTTGGTCCAAAGAGTAGCAAGAAAGGCCATTCATTTTTTTGATCTTGTTCAAAGGTGACTGTAGGACAACTGTAGGTTTGGGCTGTTTTCTCTGCCTTTATCCTCAGGAGAGAGGAAGAACAACCAGTCCCTGTTCTCTGAAGGATAACTTTTTGTGTAACGTTTAAGGACACTTTTGTTAGTGACATTTAAATAAATGGTAGAGGCCATTCTTGACCTGTTTTTCAGTGTGCCTTAGGAGCCAGATTTGCAGTCTCAATTAGCCAAAAAAGCCGCATCTGTTCTTGAGCTTGAATGTAAGTTAATTCCAATACCACAGTTAGCTATGGCAGCACTTTAGATTGTGTATGCAAAAGCCATAGCCTGCTGTTGGCTAGGAGACTCCAAGGATGTCATTCGGGAGACCTTGGTTTCTAATTCTACCCACCACTAAATAGCTCTGTGACTTGGCCAAACCCGGTAATATGCCTGTTTTTACAGATGGGATCTCTCTTTCCTCATTCGAAGAAAGAGGTAAACATACTTGCCCTGCCATACCTCATAGGAATAGTATGAGATAAAGTGAGATGATAGAAAGAAAATGCTTTGGAAAAACAAAATGCTGACTAAATGAAAAGGGATTTTGTCAGCTGCTTCTCTGGGGTCTCCTTCGGTTTTGAGTGTGGTTGAAAGCTGAGCTGGGGGACTCAGATGGGAGTGACAGCCTGTACTGCACTTGAGGACTGTACATTTTTTCATGTCTGGTAGGAAATTGGCAGCACTAGAAATGGAGTGAAACTTTTCATGACATGTTCCATTTGCTTTTGGAAAAGAGACATGTGTATGAGAGTGGAAGAGTAGCTCATCTAACTGCCCAGATGGCTGAGGTTTTCTTTCTGGTGGGTAATAGTGTAGTTCACTTGCACACTTACTTCTTATTACCCAGATGTGCAAAGAAACTGTAGCTTTTCAAATTTTCTAAAGTGGAGCCAGTCTTTCTGATAAGCCCCCACCCCTGTTTTGCTAGTTTATAATATATTATTCTTTTTTCTGGATTAATCTCTTTTGGATGACTATTTCATTTAGGTAAATTGCTCAGTTGCTCAGATTTTTCTTATGTTCCTCCACTTCTCTTCAGAGTGGGGTCTGGGTGCATAGAGGTGTTTACATGAACTTGTGGTGGTAGTGATGGGAGCAAAGGAAGAAGGGTACTTGGAGCCAAGGCAAGATAGCTAGATCCCACTGGTCTTTGCTTCATGGAGGCAGGGCTGGTCTGATGACCTCTCTTGTTTTTTGGAATATTGTGCTAATACCCAGGACTAAAATTTATGTCCTACTTTTTGCCTATGCGGTCAAAGACCCTACATATGGCAGCCTCTTAGTCCTGACTCCAGGCCTTTGCCCAGTCACTGAATGAGTACCATCAGCAGGGAACAAAGAAGCATATGGATCCCAGCTTGCTCAGCACCAAGTGTGAGAAGACAGAACCTCTGCACTTGGCTCCCTAACTAGACATTCACCTTGGCCAGTGCTGTGTTTTCATCTGTTCACCACCATCCTCTCCCCTCCACACCACAACTGGTGAAAAGGTAGGCATTTTTCTAGAGGCCTTCAACACCTCAGGAGTAGCCTTAGGGTTCTCAGGTGCCCTCATAACCATTAGGGTATTTCCAAAGCTGTTCCCTGAACTCTGGTTGAGCCTTAAGGTGGGAGTATATATAGTGGAGCCTGAGACCCTGGTATCCGATCTAGACTGAATTTTTCCCATGTTCCCCAGATGCCCGAGGAAAAGGGCTTTCCCTCTTTCCTTATGGCAGGGATCTCCCCTATGTCATATCCTTAGTACTGTCTATCTCTGGTTTAAAGAAAACCTTAATGGTCAAGTCCACCCAGGCTGTATCTTAATATGTTAGTGGGAGCTTGAGAATTCAAGCTGCATACTAAAAAAATCCTATTTTGGATGTCAACAGCTGAACATTGACGCTTTCTCTTTGCCTGCTGCTATAACTATCCTAAACTTCCTTGAGGCAAATAGATGCTTCTGGCAGAGTAAGGAGGAGGTTAAATATATATAAAGACATGCAAAAGAGGAAAGTACATTATATTTTAAAAAGTATTACCCTAGTTAAAACAATAATTTGGGGGGAAGAAAGGTTTAGAAATGAGGCTCCCGAGATTGCCTTCATCGGGATTCCATGTATATACATGTATATGCTTATGTGCATGTAAACATGCAAGGGTGTGATGTTGTTGATTCTTCCAGCAAGCATGTAGTGAGCACTTGTTACAGATCATGTACAGAGGGGCATATGACGCAGTCTCTGTCTTCAAGGAGCTCGTGGTTTTAGGAGAATGATGGAGTGAAGATGGATTACATTATAGAGCTGCATGGCTGAATTCTGCTTTCTGAGAGGTTGGTGTTTTGGTCTGATAAATATGACTAATGGTTGAGCTAGGGGCCTTTAGTGGGTCTGGTTTCTCCTTACTTTGCTAGGATCTGCTTTCCAAGTCTCTTCAACTTTCAACAATGACGAGTTCTAGTCACTTTTGCTTTTCTCAAATAAAGTGAATTCCTTTAACATCAGTCTGGGTTTTCATGAACATATGTTTTATAGCAAGGATGTGGTAAATAAGACCAATTTTAGTCAGTAATAAATCAATGGAAAAAATGAAGCCCAAATTAGATTTTTTGTTCTTCTGCTTCTGTGGTGGTGGAGTTGTTTGGTTGTTGTTGTTTTTATCCAAAATTCTTTCACCTCTTTTGATGCGGAAAACTTTTGTGTTTTATACACTATACTCAATCCAGGGCCATGGAGTTCAAACAGCGCTAGGGGCTGTGAGCAGTATTTCTACTTTGGTGAAACTGGGAACTCTGTCCCCTGTGAAGGGAGGAGAAACTAGTTGCCTGGCAAGTCAAGCCGGGTGGGGCAAGCACTGAGCAAAAATAACACAACAGGTAAGTGGCAGAGTCAGATGGTTGGGTTCAAGTGGAAAGAGCAGTGGGCTGGGTTTCGGAAGAACAGTTGTTACTGCCGAGCTTGGGCAAGTGTGTCCCTCTCTGAGGCTTAAGAGAGAGTTGAGCTAGAAGGTCTCTAATGCGTCTTCCATCTACAATATTATGAACTGAATGGATAGCAGGTGGGGGGACAGGGAAGCCCAGGGGCATAGGAACCAAGTGGTAAGTGGTTTCAGGACCTTTATGCCTGGTTCTCTGGAGACTTTACCCTTTTGAGATCTTTCATCTCTACAGCTCAAGACTGCTTGGTCAGTCCTCCTGATGCCAGAACTCAGAGGTGACCCAGCATCCTTATATGGTGAACAGGGGCACTAGCCCCCTTGGGGAGGATCATCCTGACAGTCAGCAAATGAGTGGCTTCAAACAATTTTGGTTCTCAGAATCTTTTCAAACAACCATGTTTCTGGGGTTTCTGGGCCTGTGTTAAAAAGCCTACACTTCCTCAGCCTTTTCTTTTGGATTCCAAGTCTGTGTGCCTAAACATCCTAGATAATGCCTTCATCAGGGACCGCCTTTCTTCTGGCTCTTCCAAGGTACAGGGAGGACTAACTTATTCATCTTCCTGTCATCCCATGTCCTTGAACCTTTCTTCTCTTGCATCAGATAGAGAAGATGGTAAAAAGCCGTCCAGAATCTTCTTTTCTTAGTGTATGTGCAAACCCAGCCCAACTCCAGCATCTCAAAAGGAGAAATAGGGTAAATTGCCATCTTGGCTCTCTTACATTTCCTTCCATGCAGAACTCTCCTTTCTTCCACATTTTCTAGAGCTTTAGAGAACTTACATTTTGGTAGAGGGAAACATACTAGATTTCTAAAAAGTACACTAAAGCATTCCAGTTATATGATAAGACTATAGTAGTGGATAGCAGGGCCATAAATGAGGAATGAAGTCTATGTTGGTGGATATGGTGGTTGTCATAGAGTAGGAGATGATTGAATGGCATTTGGAAGAGGAATTCATTATCCATAGTGACAAGTGGGGAGAGGCATTCCTAGCAGAGGAAGAAAGGTGAGCAAAGGGAGAGAGTTGTATAAACATCATGGAGAATTAGAGGATTGTAGGGAGAGAGGGACTGGAGAGACATGTGAGGTCTTGGATTTTCTCAGGAGTTGGATTTTATATTCTAGGATTTGGATTATATTTTTAAAGATATGGGGTCTCACTGTATCACACAGGCTGGAGTGCAGCGGCACAATAGTTGCTCACTATAGCCTCGACCTCTTGGGCTCAAGGGATCCTTGCACCTCAGCCTCCTGAGTAGCTGGGACTCCAGGCATATGCCCACCTCTGGATTTGGATTTTATTTTGTAAGCACTAGAGAGTTATAGAAGACTTTAAGAATTGAAGTGATGGAATAAAAACAATCTAATTTAGAAGGGATAATATGGCATTGGAAGGACAAAATTGGAGATAGGAATTCTAGATAGGAAACTACTGAAATATAGTTGATGATACAAGAAATTTAATGGTGGGGTATCTGCAGGATTTAATGTCTAGTTGATGTTGGGATTGAAGGAGAGGTGAAGTCTCAGACAATCTCCAGGTTTTGGCTTAGGTTGTGGGTGAAGACTGATGGTGCTTTCACCAAGCCTGACATCATAGGAATCACACAGGAGTATAGGAACACTTCACATGCTACTATAGCTTTCTACTGTAAAAGGGTTTAGCACTGCTCCATTCTTCAAACTCTACATATTTTGAATACAAAACGTTAAAAAAAAACCCAGAGTGACTGACGGTTGGACAGTTATATACTCAGACAACTTTTCCCACAAGTGGGGCAAGTCTGCTTGCTTACCTGTGCATATATGTGCTGTGTGCATGCACATGATGTTGCTCATGCTTTGGATATGAATGTATGTGCTCCTTTGATCATGTTGGGTTCTTGACACAATGTCATTTTTCAGCATTAAAATTCCCATCACCTAGCAGAAGTGTTCCCTTTAAGATCCATTTCCGCTTGGCTTGTTGTGCATAAACATTCCATTGGGATTGATTGCTTGTGTCAAATTAATTTTTTCCCTTCCCAGGAACAGTGTCTGCCATGTGCAAAATGGGGGGAAATCCCCAGGCCTCTAGCCAAATGCAAAGCTCAGATATAGGGGTAAAGTCAGGCTTGGGTCAAGAATTGTTCTAGATAAGCCACAGAGCCTGCACCTGGATACTTAATGCTAACCTTTCCAATATGCTTTGTGACTGTTTCTAGGCAACAGGAAAACCCTAGGCTGGGTAGAGATGGCTGCATATGAGAGGCTTGGGTTTTTTCAGCATCAGCTGCAGTACCACATCCTCCTCTATATCTTCCTTTTCCTGCTTTGTTTAAAAGGCTGCAGAGGCTGGGTGTTGTGGCTTCCACCTATAATCCCAGTACTTTGGGAGGCCAAGGTGGGAGGATCACTTGAGCCCGGGAGTTCAAGACCAACATGGGCAACATAGCAAGACCCCATCACTTAAAAATAAAAATAAAAATAAAAATAAAATAAAATGTTGCAGAAGCCTCTGGAGGCAAATGGAGAACATGCTAAATACCCTCCTTCCCTACCTGGCTGCTATGCAAACTTCACAGAACTCTGGGGTAGTTTTTCCTCCAGTTCCAGTCCTGACACTTCCCTGAAGCTATGGCAGACCCTCAGAATGTACCTGTAAGGCCTTTCCCTAACAGGTAGCCCCTATCTTCATGGTGCTCAGTTAGCCAGCCTTACCACATTTTGCCTGACTCCAGACACCAGACCAGGGACCTTCAAACTGCCTTTCCTAAATTGGAAACTTTGGCCAACTGATCTGTACAACAGGGTAGTCTAGACTATATTGTCCACTGATGAACTAATTTGTATCTCGGCAGTAGGAGCTTTGTGAGTTGTATGATACAGTCTTCCTGAGAATGGTTATATATTCTTTTCCTGAAACCTGGATTTCTGGAAGTCCTAATTAACATTGGTTAAATTTAAGTTTAACTTTGTGGGTTGTGATTATCAGTAGTTCCAACCAAAGGATCTCTAGAAGTTTATCATCTATAATCTAGCTGAATACAGCCTTTTAATTAGTGGAGTTTATAGCAAATAGCTTACTCAGTTAGCCATTAACCATCAGGACCCTTGAACTTTAAGAAGAAAGTGGGTGAATTCCTCATCTCAGAGGGTAAAATGCTAAACTTCCGTGTCTGGTGTAACAGTTACTTTTGGGGGAAGGGGGTTTGGATTCCATTTGCCAAAAGCTTTTACATAAATTGATAACAGAAATGATTTTTAGCATTTGCCAACAGATTTTGTAATGTATCACTTTTAGCAGAGGGCATGCATAGGACTTGGTTATACAATTTAATTTTCTGTCATTCCCATAGAATCTGATTGTAAATGTCTGGTTTTTGAGCCAGGGCAACTGACTGCTGGAGGGATGCAGGGTTCATAGAAGTCTGCCAACTGTTAGAGAGAATGTTTCCTCTTCCCCGCTCCTGATGCCACTAAACACGTCTCTTGAATCCAAAAGGAGGTCATCTAATTTCTTCTCTCTACCCTGGCCTAGTTTCTAAGCTCTTACAGCTATTCACTCTATTCTATCTAGTTTGTTTTGAAGTATTTATTCAACTTGTTATGCATAGAAGTCATTCTCTGAGACATATTTTCAGACCACCTTAATTACTCTATCTAGCATGATTCTGGGCATTGAATAGGCCTGTTTGTGATTTCCCCCTTAGATTTTGGGTTTTCCTATGAGAAGGACCAAGGCAGCTCTCCAGTGGAGGTCCTCTCTGACAGACTCATGCGCTGAGTGTGTGATCACGATCACATGCTACTTTAGGTTTCCTGGAGGCCCTAGAGCCATAGAACTCCAGATTTGATGGGATCTGACTACAGAGATGGCACTATAAAATCCCATCCAAAATCTCTTTAGTACAGAGGATGAGGGCAATCGCTTTACATCTCTTGTAATCACTCTAGTGGGTGCCATTTTTTTCCCCATGCCAAGTCTTTTCCATTCCTGTGCATTGATTCTGCACCCAGGTACCCACCTTATTCATTCCTTCCAGGACCCTCAGTACTGAAGCTTTGTTCTCCGGGAGTTTTCCATTTCTGGGCTGTTGGATTTAATGTGACCTTCCTATATGTCAGGTTGAATGGTGAGAGCCTTGTGAATTCCTGGAGAGCCTTTGTGCAGATTAAGAACAAAGGAGGCAATTTATCTCTTCAAGCATCAGGACTTTTAACCCTGTGTTCTTTAACCTCCCTTTCAGGGTTGTTTAACTTTTTGCCAGCCCCTTGCCTTGCAGGTCTTGTGTATGCTGTAGTTGAGGGGGCATTTTACAGGATTGCTCAGCTTTTGAAAGGAAATTTGTTTGTGTTTATTTTTTTTTTGAGGGAGGAGAGGAATCTCCCAAAATTTGATCAGTGGAAGTCTGTCCTTTGGATGTCAGTGGAGACCTCGAGTCGTCTGGCTGCCTTGTGCAGTTCTATGTCTGTAGCGTGGTGCAAAGGGGTATGTCCCCAGCCTGGAGAGGGGATTCCTGTATGCTGCTCTCAGCTATTATGCACTGGTTTCCTTTCTGATTCTGGGCAGGCCACTGTACCTCTCTGGGCCTGAGTTTCTTCACTATAAAGTGAAAGTGCTGAAATGGATGATCACTGAGGTTCCTTTAATCTCTTGAAAGTCTATGGG
Source organism: Homo sapiens (assembly GCF_000001405.40). NCBI lineage: Eukaryota > Metazoa > Chordata > Mammalia > Primates > Hominidae > Homo > Homo sapiens. The sequence goes on from NC_000003.12 coordinate 124,056,560, forward strand.
GTCTCTGATAATTTAGGAGAAAGTCTTCCTTTGCTTATCTCAACTCTGGGAAAATGCATGTTATAATGGTTGTCTTATGCCTGGGAGTCCCTGTTCTCAGACATGACACACAAAACGTACAACAACCTGCCACTGGCTGGTATCTGTCCCTAGCTATTAGAAATCCAGCCGCAACAAACCTCCAGCCTTGCCAGTCTCTGGATGAGCTTTACAAGCTAAGTTCTGAGCCAATTACAGTATCCTTAGTTTATTTTTTGTAGGACCCACCAAATATTTATGGGCTTCCCAGGAAAGTTCAGTCAACAATTTTAGGGTAGCTATAATCTATGTGTAACAACTACTCTTCAACATGATTTGTTTCCTCTCTTAGTCTATAAAGAGGATTTTTTGAAAGGAGAAAAGTTTTGTTTGAATTTTCTCAGAAACTCCAAGTTCTTTAAATTGGATATTTGGCAAATCTTTTTCCCCAGAGTTATCCATGTTGGCTGGCCCTGCCAGATCTTTTTCCTCTCTCTTAGAGGGAGTTTTAACTGCCATTGATTTATCCCTTACCACATTTGGCTTTGTGAAGAGCTGGTGGGGAGGACGATCTGCAGACTGCTTCTTCCTCTGGAGATTAAGCCTTCAGGACCATATCCTGTACTTTTTCTTAGTGCCTCCCACCATACCGCCCCCACTTTTGCCACTCTGTCTTCAGGTATGAGTACATTATTCTGGAAGCTGGGCAGAGAGTGAGGAACTGGGATTGAGGGAACAGAAGCAAGTTTTAAAGGTCAAGAAATTCTCATAGTTTATAGAATGATCAAGAGTCAGAACCAGAGGGGGAAGCCTGGCCAGAGTCAGCAAGGGGCCAGGGATCAGGGAAGTAGATAAAGGCCAAGAAGATAAAATGGTGAAAGCTCAATCATGGAAGGCAGTATACGATGCATTCAGCATCCAGGGCATCTGCAGAAGCAGAAGGAGCAGGAAGAGAGAGGGGAAGCAGATGTGAGTTTAACTGCAGCAGTCCTTATTGATTGAGGAATCTTTTTGCTTTGGCCCTGCCTGCACTTGTGCGCGTGCCAAACTCCCAAGCAGAAGGAGCCTGGGCCTGGGTGGTGGAGCCCAGTGAGAGGACCTGGCCGAGGCACAGTTGTTGATGTCATCAGCTGCTGCCTCCCTACTTCTCTCTGGAACAAGTCATCCTGTGAGGCTCTGTATTTCTGCTGCTCAAGGACCCGCTGTCCTTTCCATCGGTGAGACTGCAAGTATCCAGGTTTATTCCCTAAGCCTGGGGTTTCAACTTGAGGGGTCAAACTACCTGGATACATTAAGAAAATGAGACTGGGCAACTGTATTAGTTCCTTTTCATGCTGCTGATAAAGACATACCCAAGACTGGGCAATTTGCAAAAGAGGTTTATAATGGATTTACAGTTCCACAATTATGGCAGAAGGCAAGGAGGAGCAAGTCACCTCTTACATGGATGGCAACAGGCATAGAGAGCTTGTGCATAAAAACTCCCATTTTAAAAATAATCAGATCTCGTGAGACTCATTCGCTATTATGAGAACAGCCCAGGAAAGACCTGCCCCCATAATTCAGTCACCTCCCACTGAGTTCCTCCCACGACAGGTGGGAAATGTGGGAGTTACAATTCAAGATGAGATTTGGGTGGGGACACAGACAAACCATATCAGCATCCAAATTCCCCATAGAATATTATCCTTTAGCTTGATGGTCTTTAGATGTGTAATTTCCCCACTTCAGTTCATGATAACAGAGCTGCCTATATATCTTTCTCTGTGTCTTTAGCTGATGCCCTATCTTTGTGTTCTTGAGTCCTTGGGATGAGTTCACTCATTTTGTTGGGTGGGCCAAAGGGTCTTTCTGGCCGCAAGCAGAACAGGTTGTGAACTAAAGATACCCATTTATCTTTGTGCTTTTATTCAGTAACCAAGAGGGGCCCTTCCTGCTTTTTGACCCAACTCTCCTCCAATTACCTTTTTCTTCTTTCTCAAGCTTGAAAGTTTTGAATCTACATATCTCTCTATGGTGCCTGAGAGCACTAGCCTTATCTGTGGCTTGGCTCAGCATGGCAGGCTTCAGCCTTGACCTGCAATTGGATTTTTCTGGGAATTTCTTACTAGAATTGATCCAGCCCAATTAAATCAGTAAGCTTCCCTGTAGTATCTGTCTTTTCACCCTTCACTCATAGATTTAACATCTCTTTTAACCTTTTCCAAATTGGACCATTCATCCTCCAGGCTGAAGATGAAAGAGTCTAGATTTATTTTATATATTTGTATATATTTTTAAAAAAACTATATTATTTCTATACTGTAAGCATTCAGGTTAAAGTTTGAATCTTGAAAGTAGCTTCTTTAAACATAATTGTGACAAATATCACTCTGTTGATTGTTAGTTTACACTTGTCTGAGACCAGCTCTAATTCCACTGGGTATGTGCTCCTTGTAATCCTCTTCCTTGTCCCTTCCTTCCTGAGACTCTCATTATAGAAGAAAAAAAAGGAATTGTGTAGTGTGGAGGTCCTTTAACTTTCTCAGTTCACGGTACCTTAACATCTCAGTAAGTTTTCTGTGGCACCCTTACGTGAAACAGAATACTTAGTAGATCTGTTGATTAAGTAGTTAGATCCAAACAACTTAATAAGTACTAATGTTCTAACAATCCAGTAGCCATTTGAAAAAAATGATGCATATAAATGAAAAGTATTTTCTTATTTATTTTTTGACAATTGTATGTATTTATGGTATACAACATGATGTTTTGAAATTGTGGAATGGCTAAATTATACTAATTAACATGTTCAGGACCTCAAATACTTATCTTTTTTTTTTGTGGTGAGAACACTTAAAATCTACTCTCTTAGCAATTTCCAACTATACAATACATTGTTATTAACTATAGTCACCATGTTATACAATAGATTTCTTGAATGTATTCCTCCTGGCTAACTTAAATTTTGTATTCTTTGACCAACATTTCCTTCTCAATCTCCCCAAGAAAAGTACTTTTATTTCATTTTTAACAAACCACAGTTACTTACTAATGAGATGTGTGTGCCTGTTGGGCACTGCACAGCTTCTCAGAGGCTGGACTCAAATTGGATATTGCTCCCCTTATTTCCTGTTCTCCATTGATTTTTTGTGCTGTGCTTGCTTTTTATCATAGAAATTGCCTCAAATCCAGTTTTGCAAAGATATGACGTCATTTAAAGGAATGGAGTGTGGTTTAAGGTTGAAACTGAGAGCTACTTTTTGCTAGTAGCTTATGCAATATCTGACAGATGCCAAGCATTGATGTGTTTCCCTCAAAAATTTAAAAATTCACATAGCCCCTATGAATTTTCTATGGTGGCCCATGGTATCTTGGTGCATAGTTTGGGAACCATGGGGATGGTGGAATAAATGTTGGAAAATCTTTTCCAGGAGCAGTTTTGGTGCTTTTTATCCCCTCAGCCTGGTTGCCATTCTCTAGGTTGCCAGACTTCTCCTGAGAATCTCTTAGCTTCCAAGTGGCCTTGATTCTCAAGGGACTCTTTCTCTCCATTCTCCACTGGCTTCGCTGACCATTTTTGAGGCTGACTGGTATTTATTAGAGTCTGTATCAGGGAGTCCTTTCTGAGAAAGGGTTAGGTCTTGGTCCACCAAACATAAAATGAGCGGGAGGTGAATGCAGCACCAAGTAGAGCATTTGGGGTGGGGGCCAGATGCTCCTGGTCAGCATCAGCTCTGTAATTTGCTGGGCCCAGGTCAAAACAGAAATGTGAAGCTTCATGTTCAAAAATAGCAAAGAAAAGTACTATTGTAGGTGTTAATATATAAAATGCTTTCCTTTCTTTCACTATCTCTCTCTTGATCTATCATGGTGTTTTCTATTTTTTATTTAATGTTTTGCTGCCTTAGCACAAGCCTCTTAGGGGCCAGTGCAAACCTCCAGGTGTCTGGCTCTCTTCTTACCTTGTGATTTGGTGCACATGGCCTACTGGCTGCTGGGTTCCCGCTTCCCCCAGCTGCAGGACTGAGCCCTGGCCAGGAGCAGAGAAATTGTTCCAGGTATCTCTCTTTCCATGGACTTGCTGCTTCAACTTAGAGGAGGCAACCTCCAAGGATATTGCAAGCACAGGGAAGTGCTAGCTACCTGGATTGTGGGTGGGCAGGAGGCTTACTGCTGAGTTGCTGAGCATGCGGTGATGGTGCTGCCAACTCAAGGGAGGGATGGCTGACACCATGACTTGCCTGGAGACATTGTGGGGTGTATGTACCTGACCTCCACCTTCCCTCTGCTAGGTGGAAGGGGTAGGGAAGCCAGGCAAGGCCTGGGGCCCCAGTGGTTGGGGGAATGGTTAGCTAAGAGCCTGTCCTGGGCAGGTAGCTGGAGGTGGACTCTCAATAAGCCTAGGTCCCAACCCCCAGCACATGCTCCTTCATTCTCTCAGACTTCACTTACAAAGCACAGGTTCAAAAATTAAATTATTAAGAAATTGGAGACAGTGACGATAGGGCCTTAAATCCCAAACACAGGGCCTTCTGAAGACCCTGTGCAACTACACACCTATGACACTAGCTGTGCGGAGGCAGATACACGAGGGGAATTCTACCTTGTGACTGATCAGACTGAGCTCCCTGTTGCTGAATTAACTAAACTGTGGTTCATTGCTGCACTCAGATCTCTGGTAGTATTTATAGCCAGTTTGTACTGAATTCCCACCATGTGTCAGGCTTCATGCTGAGTGCTTTTTTCTGTAGTAACTCATTTAATTTTCATAATAACTCCATTTTACAGATAAGAAAACTGAGGTTAAATGAGTCACTCCAAATCCCACAACATGTCAGTGACAGAGCCAAGTTTTGAAGCCAGGCAATATGGTGCCAAAGCCTACCTCCATGCCAGGACACCATTCTTTTTCTGGGTGTCATCCAGCTTTTGTTCATAACAATGGCACTAAGTGCTGCTTTGTTTCCTAATTCCAAATAAAACCCTCTTGTTTCATTCCACATGTATTTCTAGACAAGGACATTTATTTTTAATTTGAAAGCTTCCTTCAAAATGAAATAATCTAATTTTCCAAATATGTTTTCAAGAACAGTATGTGGCTACATCATTTTAAATCCCCAATTTTCATCAGGCCATGACACTTTTCAACATGGTTGTTACAGTAACAGTCAGGAGCTGAGGTTTGGTGTGAGTACCTTTGTTTTAGGCGCCATCTCTGCTGGCTGTCAACAGGTGATTGGTGGGCTGAGGGGCAGCACTGTAGCGAGTCCATACAGTCCACACGGTGCAGCTGAGGACACCAGGAGTAGACCACATTCTATGGCACAAGTGCTTGTTGTAAAGAAGCAGACTATTTATTTAGAACAACAGAAGAGCAGTTATTTTACTTTCTAAGACTTGATGCTTAAAGGGTGGATGCTCACCTGGAAGCAAGGGCATCACCTGGGAGCTTGTTAGAAATGCAGGATCTCAGGCCCCCTCCTTGCTGAATCACAATCTGCATATTAAAAAAAGCCTCAGGCAATTTATTTGCACATTTTTAAAAAGTTGTTTTAAGCCTGTGAGTGTGTTTGTGTGCTTATTTCCTTTACTACTTCTATGAAAGGACATCCTTTGTCACTTAGGTTAAACATTCTGCCTTGGACTTATGTGGCCTTCTGTAGGCACTTAAACTCCTTTGAGCTTCAGTTTTTCTTCTGTTAAATGAAGAAGTTGGACCAGATAAACTCTGTGGTCTATCTTAGTTCTATGGTTTAGTAAAAATCCCTAAGCAACAGAGCTTTGTAAGAGTTTATTGCTTCTATTTAAAGCCACCTTTGGGCATTTACACATTTTTAGCCCTGTCTCCTTTATCCTATATCTAACTGCCAAAACCCAGTCTCCCAGAATGTGACCTACAGCTGCTTGCATCAGACCCACTCGGGGACATTGTGAAAATGCAGATTCCTGGGCCACAGCTTAGCCTTCCTGAATCGGAGTCTCTGGGGACAGGTCCTAGAAATCCACATCTTTAACCCTGCATTAGAGTGCAAGCATTAACATTTTCTTGCTAGTTTCTAAATACAAAGGTCTCTGGGGGTTTTCTTCTCTCATCACTTTCTCTTGTTTTTTAAAGTCACGTGCTTCCTTGGTGCCTTAGAAAAATGGAGGCCTAATGGAAGAAAGGAGAATACTGTGAAAGGAAGCTAGTTTGGAGAGGGGAGAAAATGAATTTGTGATGACAGCTGGTGATTTGAATGAAATTCTCTAGAAAACATACTAGGCTGTGGTACTGAAGTATACGTAGAGAACTGGTGAGCTATATGGGTTTGTGGTTGCCCTGATGTAGGATTGGAAACCTGGTCACCTCGGAGCACTGAGGGATGTAAAGGAAAAAGAATGAAATACATTTAAGTGTAAGAACACATGTCTGAATAAGGCAGCAAAGTCTTCCAGGCAGTGGGAGGAGAGAGCTAGATGCACAGAGGACCTAAGGGTTCAGCTTCGATGACTGCTCAGAGTTAGAGGGTAGGAGGAAAAGAGGAGTTAGTGAACCCTTCCAGGAGAGCTTGGAGAGGCAGAGGAGAGCTAGGACAGCCGGAGGTGAGAACAGCAGGAGAGAAGAGCATGGAGGTGGTCAATAGTCAAACACTATATGCCAGTCAGTCTGTCTCCAGAAGGACTTGTGCCCTTGGAATGAGGGTTCAGCGTCTTTAATCATGTCATGGCAGCCAGATTATATGTGATTTAAGAGGGCAACAGGAAAAGAAGCAGAGAAGGGGAGGGTGACGGGGTCTGTGATTGTGATGATGTACTACTCACACTTTTGCAGGACAGGGGAAACACTGGGTCATTTCAAGAGGCGTGGTCTCCTCGGTGGAGGGGTGGGTATTCACCCTTGGTGCCTGTACAGTGCTTACAAGGTAGTGCCTGTGAGGTTGCCAGCTTGGGAAGGAAGTGATGTGGGTGCGATGGGGGAAGATAGTTGGTAAAGACACAAACATTCTCGGCCAGTTGGCAAACATTGGGAGCAGCAAGCTGGAGGCAAACAGATGTCAGTATTTAGCAAGATGTTAGGACATTTTGGAAGCAAGAAAGCCCTTCTTTCAGCCCACTTCCAGGAGGGATTGGTAATTTTCTTCCTCACTTGAACTTTGTCAGCTACTTAACATAATTCAAACACACTGTAGCTATATTTGGCAGATGGTCAACTTCTCTGGGGAGCTTACATCACGGGCACCATCAGGTCAATTCAACAAGCATGTCTCGAGGGTGTTCCATATGTAAAGCACTGACTTTGGCTAGTAGGGATCAGAAAGGCTGGGCCAGCCTTTAGGAGACGTGGTTCTGAATGTGTGTTGCTTTCCAGTTAGTTTGGTTATCAAGTGAGCTACTGAGAAGCAATCAGGGAATTTTGTTTTAAGTAAACAAATACACACTTTAGTGCCACTAACAAGACAGAGAAGGTGATTTTAGACAATTGTTAGAATTCAGTTAATTTTGACCAACATTTGTCAAGTGATTGAGGTTTGATAGGCCCCATGTTAAGGATTGAGGATACAGAAATAAGTAAGATGGCTTTGGCCTCAAAGAATTCAGAGTCTAGCAGGGGAGACAACCAAGAAGATATAATTACAGCTTATCCTACAGATCCTGCAGTGGGGTCACCACTGGATGCTAAGGAAGCATAAACCAGAGGGACTGAGCTCAGGAGGTGATTCTGATTAAGCCTTAAAGAACAAGTAGGAGTTTAAACTGCTGAGAGACTGAAAAAAAAAAGTAAATGAGATGATGTGATTCCTCTGTGGCAGCCATTTAGCGGCAGAACATGTGGTTTTGGTTTGTAGAGGTCTGCTAGGGGCTTTCAGGACTTTTAGCTCCTGAAGAGCAGGCAGGGCAGCCTTGATGAATAGAGAAGAAGAATATTCTCTATATTCTTCTTCCACTTCTCTCTTCCTTGTTTTTCTTCCTTACTCAAAGAGGTCTGAAGCAATAAGGAAGGCAACAGTAACTAAGGCCCGTTGCCCTTGCTGACCTCCCACCGCACACACTGCCCACCTAGGGTTGAGGAGGAAATCTAAAGGTTTTTGAGAGGGTGCCCAAAGGCACCATCTGGTCATTGTATGAGCAGATTATCTGGGCACTGAGGAAGAGAATGTGGTATGTCTTTTAGGACAGCTTTTTGGTTTGGGGTTGGGAATCTCAAAGGTAGCTCTCTGCATCTGGAATGGCACAGCCTTGCTTTTCTTTCCAACTTGATACCCCTTGAGCTACACACACGTTGTTTCCAAAACAAGAGTATTCAGACAAGGACAAGGACAAAATGTTGACCCCTCAAAATTTCCTCCCCTCTTGGTGAGACTTCTCACCCCAGGATGACCCCCCAATCCCTGTATTTGGGAGCTTGCCCTCCGTTCCCCCTTCCCTGAGTAGGTGACAATGGACATAGGCAGTGCTGTGTCCTGTGTGTGTTGTTTACTTGTGTCTCTCACATGGTCTTGGCTACAGTGGGGCAGGAGCTACATTGGGAAGGTGGGTCTTTTCCACTCAGGAAAGACTGCTTTGTACTAGATTTATACCAGAATTGAGTGGAAGGAGTTCTGGAGTAAGAGAGAAGGTTTCTTATTTTCAAAGACTAAGAAGGAAAAGCATAGAAGGAGCATATAGCATCGTGATGATAGGGCTGGGTGCTGATGTGGCTTCAGCAGCAGCATATGAGCCAACACTGCAACAATTTTAGCAAGATGAGCCCGGCCCTGTGCAAGGAGGATGTGTGAATTCAGAAGGGTTACATATTTTGGGGATGAAGTTAGGGAAATTTGAATATAGGATGGTTATTAGATGATATTAAGAATTATTAGTTAATTTTGTTAGGTGTGGTAATGGTATTGTAGCTGAGTGCCCTCATATTTAAGAGATTCATATTGTAGTATTTATGGGTGAAATGTCAGGATGTCTGCAATTCACTTCAAAATAATTCAGCAAAAATGATGAAGCAAATATGGCAATAAGCTAATAATTGTTAAATCTAGGTTATGGTGACTAGTTATACTATTCTTTCTACTTTTCCATATGACTAAAACATTCCTTAGTTAAAAAAAAAAAAAAAAAAAAGAGTACAGGCTCTGAAGCCAGACTGCATGGGCCCAAATCGTGGCATGTGGTTTTAACCTATGTGCCATTTTCTCCTCTTTAAAATGAGATGAGATAATAAAGGTTCCTACTGCACAGGGTTGTGTGAAGATGGAATTGTATAACACATGGAATGCTTAGATCAGTATCTAGTCCATAAAGTCTCAACAACTGTTTTATTATTATTACTAAAAAGAAACCATCTCAGGAAGTTGAGATTTCAAGCTCAGACTGGGGCTGAGAGAGAACATAACTTTTCTGGAAGCCAGTCAGAGACATCCAACTCAGCTCACTTTCCAGTTTTGGTGAGTTTGGTGGGAGCAGGAGTAGAGCTGGGCTTGACGGGGATCCAGGATCCCTGATGATACCCTTTTCCCTGGGAGGGTGGCCTGAGTGTTGTCAGGGAGAGGGGCAGCAGGTCATCTCCCAGAAGAGATATTGAGTCATCAGGCTAGGTGGGAGAGCATATTAGACAATGACATGAACATTGTGTTGTGTTGCTCATCTGTGCTCAGAACTGAGAGTTCTAGCCATTATGATTTTTTTTCTTTCTATGTTGCACAGGAAATTTTGCAGGTAGGGATGAAGAGGGGTGTGGAGAAAAGAAAACTCAGCTTCTGTCTGGAAATTCCACTGCACCAGAGAGAGTCCTGAATATGTTGAGTTGCATAGTATAGAGATTTTCAGAGTGAATCAATTGTTCAAAGATGACACTAGGGTGAAAATGGGTTCATTAGATGTACCAGTCAGGGCTTTAGCAGGAAACAGATGGCCCAGCCATGTTGGGTAACCTGAGGAAGGTTTAATGAAAGGACTCTTTACAAAGGTGTGGGGAGGGATTTAGATTTGAAGGAGTGAGGGAAGCGAGTGGTTACCAGAATGTGTGAAAGAGCAACCTCAAAAGGAGGTGTGACCTGGGTAAGGGACATAGAAAGCTCATGGCCACCCATGACAATGTCGGGAATAGGGAACACCGCTTCACCCTCCTTGCTTCTTCTTATCTCCTGCCACAGCTTTTCAGAGGCTGAGCTCAGCAGAATTCCAGAGGGCAAGGGAGCCTTCATATGATCCATCTAGGTCAGCCTTGGGCACTCAGCCGGCTGGAGAAGGACAGAGGGTGTGCCTGGAACAGGTGGAGAGTGATGGAAGGGCAAACAGGAGCCCCTGGTTGACTAGGAGAATATGAGGCTTTTAGGAGACACAGTTTTCTCCAACCCCACTTTCAGTTAGTTTCCCAGTACTAATATGTGAGCTAGGTGATCTCCATACTCTAGCTACGTAAGCTCTAGTATCTTTACACAAACTCCACTTTCTAAGGATGCAGTGTTAGCTGCAGTGCAGACTGGAGCAGACTTCAAATCCCCAAATGGTAGATCCAGAAGGCTCCAGAAGAGACATTAGAGATAATTTAGTCTATTTGCCTCATTCCTTCAGATAAGAAAACAGTTCCCAGGAGGCAAAGTGATTAGTCCACAACTTCTTCATGGCAGAGCCAGAAAGGGGATGCTCACAGCCAGGCTCTCAGTAAAATGATATTTTCTGAGGCCCTAATCCTACTCAGACCTCAGATATGATATTAGCACTTATCCTGTCTTCCTACATCCCTGACCTTGACGGTTCTTTCCTTCCCTACCCCACCCCACCCCACCGCACCCACCCCTGTTGTGATGGGGAATTACTCTGATGCAATGGTGGCCTTTAAGTATGCTCTACACATAGTTGGTACCCAAACCAGAGGTCATGGAACTGGAAGCTCACAGCCAAATTAGGATGCTCAGATCACATGGTTTATTAAATCAATTTAAAGCACACAGCAAAAAACAAAAAACCACCAAAACCACCCCCAACAAACAAAAAAAAACCACAAGAGAAAAGATATGGGATAGGTCTGTGCACTTAGGATAGGGTAGAAATGGGGAGAAGGATCACATCCCTGACTTCTAGGTGACATATCAGAGTTTATGTCCTGTGTATCTCTTTGCCATGTCAGCCTTTCTCACTGATGATGTGTTTATGGAAACCAGAATTGAGAAGCGAGCAGGAGGGCACAGCAGGTAGGAGGTGCCTGTTCACAACACACACTCACTTTTTCAGAGAGGCTCTGGGGCAGCTATGCTGGCCAGGGGAGCCACTCACCAGTTATCCTGATGAACTGCTCTGGGTTCTGGGTGCATGGCTTGGGCAGAGGACTGGTGAGGCCTGACTAGGATGTGAAGACACAGTTTGAGAGACTCCTGACGTAGTCTTGTAACCACCCAGCTGCCTCCTGATGTACTGCACATGTTTCCTGAGGCCCTACGCCATAGCTCAGCTGGTTGGCAGTGGCCTTAAGGAGGTCAAACCATGGGTCTGATTCCTATGGGGCCCAGCTAGACTTACACAGAGGAACAAATGGCTTCTACTCCATAGGCAGTGCCTCCTTTAACCCTGAGTGGCTAGTCTGAAAATCTCATCATTGAGGGGGCAGGATGACAAAGTTTGGATAACTTAACCAAATCCCAGTTCTAGGATCTAGATCCCAATTCTAGAAGTTGGGGCTAGGGATATGGTCTTCTTTCTGGGAGGAAAGCACCCACCTCCATCTGTGGAACTCAGTATACTTGTCTGGGCCCTTGTCAGCCTCTACTTGGTGTAACCTGCCTTTCCACGGGTAGCATCCTCTGTGACATCCTGTGAGGTTACAGCATGTGAGCATCCAGACCACTTTGTGAAATTAGAACTAAAACCAAAAAGGCTGGTTGGCCCAGTGACACCAATGACAGTCCCACATCCATCTACATTTCAAGTTCCTGGGAGGATTCTTTTTTGCTGAGTGTGCTATAGAGTGAGATTTAATCTTTAGAGTTCATCTAGCAGCACCTCTGTTTCCACCTGACATACTCAATATCTGTGCTTAGGCCAGAGACACAAATAAGAGGCAGCTAGTACAAAACCCTCTTCCCCATCTGCCTTCATCATAGATGAACATCAAGGCCTCTGCCCTGCCATGTCTGGAGATGATAGAGAAGCCTGGTAGATTTTAAATATTTATTGATTTACACCCTTTCCCCAGCAGTTGAATAATGATTATTGACAGAAGCACTGGGGACATATCAGTTTTACAAAAAGAAAAAAAAAATATCATGGAGCTTGGAGGAGTTGTGGAGGGGTAAAGAAGAGCCCGCACTGAGTGATGGTCTCAGGAAGGAACAATGTGACATTTTCCACTGGATGCATGAGGTAGTAATGTGATTTGTGATATGAAAAGAGCCTCCAGGCCCTGGCAGTGCCTGCATTGAGACTGAAGACTGAGGATGTAAAGTGGGTGTCTGACCTCCTGCTTTGGTCTGTCTGGATGTTGAAGCATGAATAACAGCAAGGACAATAATCATTAGTAACCATACCTAGTATTTATTGAATACCCTCCACACGTTTGGTATAAAATTGAGCATTTTCACAAATATCTCATTAATCTTTAAAATGACCTTTTTGGGCCCTATTTTTAAGATAAACAGACTCAAAGAGGCTAGGAACTTGCCTAAAGTCACACAGCTGTTAAGTGGCAGAGCTAAGACTTGAACCAATTAGTCTATTTGTCTATTTCTGTAGTCCACATTCTTTCTATTGGATCACCCTGGAGGGAAAGGAACTCATGGAAACCTAGGAGGAGGAGGAGGAGGAGGAGGAGGAGGAGGAGGAGGAGGAGGAGGAGGAGGAGGAGGAAATACTGAGGGAACCTGGTTAAGATGTCTGAGAGACTGGGGATCTCCCAGAGCTGAGTCGACACGTGTCCCTCTATGTCGTGCACAGCCCAGGGTCAGTGCTAGAGAGAATCACATGAAATCTGCTGCTCCCTTTCACTTTAGCAGGGAACAGGGCATGCTTAAGAAAGGCAGGCAGGTTGGATTTTTAGGTGTATAGCACAAAAGTAGAAAATCAAACAATGTAAACTGTAGTAAAGTAAGAGAGTCCTTCATTGTGCAATGGGGAACCATTGAGTGTTTTTGAGTGAGGGAATTATATGGTAGGACTGCTTTGCTTTAGCAAAATTAATTTTTTAGCAGTGTTTAGAGTGGATTTCAGAGTGGACTAGGGTAAGTGCTCTAAAGGAGTAGATACCACATGCAGCTGAAGCTCAGAGGAAAGGGAGGTGAGCTTTGCCTGGGGGAGTTAGGGAATGGTTTGTAGAACATTTGACCTAGGCCTGGAAGGATGAATTTGGTGAGTCAGTGAGTGGGGCGGCCAAGATATTTCTGGAGGAGAGACTACTGGAGAGCCTTTCTTATCAGGCTGCTGTGCGAATGGGCTTGACTAGCAGGCATGTATTTAGATATCATCTTGCTTTGAAAGGGATTTACAACAGCTTAAAAAAATGTACCACAACAAGATAAAATGAAGAAAAATAAGGAGGTGATGAAATAGAGGCAGAGGAAAAATTAAGGTAGGAAAAATGAGACGAAGATAGGATTACAGTTAGTACAGTTAGCTGGATTTGATCCCTATATTCTGGGGACTTGCTCTCTAACGCTTATGGACAGAGACAACTGTTAAAGATAGCATGTGTGGAGTGAAGGCAGAGACTGTGAAGTGGTGATGGCTGAAAAACTTGCAGTCTTGAAAGTCTCTGCTCTGAGTACCAAGCTCAATGATCCGTGGTGAGAGGTCCAGGAAGCGTCCACATACATACTTACCAGGTCCTTGCAGAACCTGCTGGCATTCTGTCTTTACCGAGAACATACCATACTGAATCTAGTTCCCAAGACTTTGTTCCTGCTGGAACCTTTGCTTGAATGTTCTTTGCATCCTAGCCATGGTCTTTATGAGTCTGTAGCATGTCCCACTACCTGTGGGGAAGAGATCTTCTATGACATCACCCTGTTTCCATCTCTGATCTCCCTGAACACATTCCATGACTTGTCATCACAAACCCACTTTCATTATTACTGTTTCACATGTTAGGTGTTTGCTACCCAGCTAGACAGACCGTTAAGCTCCTGGAGGAAAGCTGGGAACTTGTTTCCTAAGTCTCAGTGCCTATCCCAGTGTTGTTTATAAAATAGCGGCTATGTAAATGTAAGCTTGGCCTTCCCTTCCTCTGGCATTTGCCTTGTGTGTCAATTTCAGTGGATCCTCAGCCCAGTCAGGAGGTCTTGGTTTTAGGATGCCTCTGGCATTGTTGTGGGCCTGTCCCTTCTCCTTTCTGGGTCTCAGTTTTGCCACCTATAAAAAGAGAGGATTTCACTGAATGACTGTTAAAGTCCCTTTCACATATATAATATTTGTATGATTGAAATTGCCTTAATTAGGGATAGTTTCTGCCTTGTCTTGCTCCCTTCCACTGTCTTTTTTTTTTGTGTGTGTGCTGATGTCTGTCATTGAAAGGTTTCTATTCATGTTTAAACCTCATGTTTAAAACTTAGCATTTCTATGTGGAAGGTGATCAGGAAGGGGAGGGAGGCAGCCTTGTGCCTGATTAGATGACATGGGGGGCATGGTGTACATGCCTGTGTAGGTGTGCTGGGATGCTTGGTGATTTGAACCCAGTCAGATGTTACCTGGTGGGTGACTTCTGTAATGGTGTCATCCCATCCCTTGCAGGTATAAGTTTGCTGGAAATTCATTGACTGAGCACTTTCCAAATGCAATCTCTATTTCTCCCAACAACTCTGAAAGGAAGTAGTTACTCCCGTTTATAGCGCGAAAACATACCCAGAGAGGTTAAGTGATTTGCCAGAAATGTTCAAAACGAAGATCTCACCTAAGGCTGTCTGGCTCCAAAGCTTGGGTTCTTTTCATCAACATTGCCTTGCAACTCAACCCAAAAGAGGAGAGCAGAAGACATCTTAGTCTATCTGTGCTTCTATAACAAAATACCTGGTACTTGGTAATTTATAAAGAACAGAAATATATTGCTCATAGTTCTGGAGGCTGAGAAGTCCAAGATCAAGGAGGTGGCAGGTTTGTTGTAAGGATTCAGTCTCTGCTTCCAAGATGGCACCTTGAATACTGTGTCCTCTTTTGTGAGGGCCTAATCTCAGTCATGATGAGGGGAGAAGCCCTCATAATTTAGTCACTTCTTGAAGACCCCACCTCTTAATACCATCACATTGGCCATTAAGTTTCAACATCTAAATTTTGGAGGGGATACATCTGAACCATAGCTCTCTTCATCGACATTGCCTTGCCCCTCAATTAAACCCAGAGAAAGAGAGCAGAATATGTCCATGTCACAACTATATAGGAAGGTGAGAATTTCCCAAATGGCAAAGTGTCTTCTCTGTTAGAATTTCCCTTAGGCACATCAGTTCTTGAGTCACAGAGATTCCTAAAAGACCTCTTGAAGGTCTCTTCTAGGCTAGGGAGTCTGAGACTTGAGGAATAAGTTGTATTTCTATGCAAGTTTTCAAGTTTTTTCTTCTAAGGACTAAAGCTGGATGTTCTTCCATGGGCTGTTGACACCAGGGAAGAAAAAGAGGATATTGGGCCAGATAAATGTAGTGGGAGAGGAGCTATTCCTTTTTAAGTAGTGGATATCAATTTTCTAAATACAATCCAGGAACATATTACACTTCCTTCTGCAAGTCCTTGTAAAGGCAGCAGCTCAGTGCATTCTTATTCCTGGACTTGTTCTGTTCCGATCTGCTCCCTGTATCTGCTCTCTGTGTCTCTGTTCCTCTGTCTGTCTCCCTCTTTCCAACCAACACCTGAAAGTGGTCTCTTCCTGTTAATAAAGCAGATATCTGCAGTTTTACCTGATAAGTCAATCAATGCCATTGATGAGGTGGTTGCTGCAAATTAACTCCTGTTTTACTTGTGAAATAACCTTGAAATAAAAGAGAAGATGGGGATCCTGGCCCAGGGTAATTTAGCCCATAGAGGTTTCCTGGAGGTAACAGTGAAGCCCATCCTCCCACACCCCCAGGAACCTGGAAATAATAGAAATGAAGCTGCCTCTGAGGGTTAAATTGGGTCCATCCGTGTATCCCACATGGATGTGATCTACCATCTGTAGCTACGGACCAGGAGGTGTTTTGCAAATACGTGAAGCAAAAGACTCCATCAGTGTGACCTGGAAATAATCTCAGGGATATTGGCTGAAATGCGATTGTAATTTAGTAATATAAAACCTAATTAATTGCTCTGAGTTCAATTTAGAGAAAGATTGTGTAGAAGTTGCTGGCCAGCCAGGGCACTTCTGAAAGGCAAGTTGAAGCAGAAGCTGGTGGTGCCCATTCAGACTCTGGCTGCCCACCAGGGCCCTTTGGTTCTCCAACAGGACCAGCACTGTTCTTGCTAGTCCATCCCATCATGGCCTGCTGATGTTGAACCATGGCTTGTTCTGCAGACTTCCCAAGCCTTGATTACATGTTCATCATGCAACGTTCCGATGACGGCTTGGCATCCCCAGTGCATCAGCCTACACTGATTATAGTGAACTGAGCACTCCAGGGTCCTGTGGCAGTTGTGGTTCGTTGTTACTTTTGGCACTCAAGATATGGAGTTTCTGGCTTATACATCAGCCTTGTGAGCTTGGTTAATACGAATCTTCACCCAGTGATAGATCTGCTCTCAAAGTACTGATCCAGTCTAGTTTCAGAGTACACACCCTTTACCTTGTGGGTTAATCAAGAACAATGCCATCTGTGGAGCCTCTTGGAAGCAGTAAATGGCCCACTCCTTTTAAAATTGCAGGCATACTGCCTTTTCCATGCAAACTTTACTCAAGAACAGGCAGCAGTGACATTGACACATAGGAAGGACTTCACAATTTGTTAAGCAATATATAGACAAGCCTAAGAAAATACTGTGCAAAAAGATACTATAGGGACAACTGAGAGCCGCAGAGCTGCAGAACAGAGAACTAGCATCAGTCACCCCCACTTTTTTTAAGTAGCCTTTTAAAAGCTGCATTTAGACTGAGGAGAAAATATAAAAAAGGAATAAATTTTCTGTTTAGGAACATGTTAGTACTAGCTAATATCAATGGATTTCTTATTATGCACTAGCTACTATATCAAGCTCTTTAAAATAAGCATTACCACAGTTAATCCCCAGAATTGCCCTTTTAAGTAGATAAACACTATTTTACCTGTTTGGCAAATGAGGATATTGATCTCTGAGTTCACTCAACTCATAATTAGGAGGGCCTGGATTCGAACCTATGGACATAGCTACTATAATTTATTGGAATAGGCTTTTGCAGGTGACACAACATAGAAGTATTTTGTCTCTGATTTCTCCATCAAGGCACTGATCTCAAGCCCAGAATGGTGTAGTAAGTTTCAAGGTCTCATCATGCTATAGGATGACTGAGGGGAGAAGTTCTGTTGCCTGTAGTTTTGAAGGAATGAATGGACTTGGATAGCAGAGATAGAGCAAAGAAAGTGTTGCAATGCCTCTTACCAGGTTGGAGGTAGTAGGACAAGCAGACTAGATGGATGGGATAGGTTACAAGGGAACAGTGGGGCTAGGCAGGGGGTGCTGAGCTTACTCAGGTTTGCATTTCTACAGTCAGCTCCCTGCTATATGCCCAAGACAGAGATGCAGTAACAAAAATAGAAGGAATGGGTAAATCCAATCATACTCTATTGTTTGTTTTAGAATTCTCAGTTCATAGCTTCAGAATGACTTTTCTATGAATGTGTGCCCTGAATTTCTAAAGCTGGAGTTCCATGCATTGAATGGGCACTGTCATGAAGAAGGAAGGGCAGGGCCATGGCAGGCCTGACTGGTCAGGGTTTAACCAAATTCAGTGGACAATCTCTATGATAGTCTAGTCAGAAGCATTTTCTGTGAGTTAAATCTGCATTTGTTGCTGTTTTCCAGGCATACGTAAGTTTTGGAGCCCACAATCACAAGGTCCAGAGAATGGAGCCCAGAATTTATCTTATCTGGAGAGAGGAGACTAAGGAACTATTATGAAGTAGATCCATCCCTCACACTGAAACTCAGTCACCTCTTCTACATCAACTCTTAGAACCTGGAAAGACTGTCCTATCATTTCTCTTGATCAGCGTTTCTTTCTCCTGCCTGGAAAAGTGTAGCTCCATAGAGTACCTCACGTTAGCTCCCTCCTACAGATTATAAGAATGTTATATAAGACAAGTTCTAGTGTCATGATGGCTTATGAACCCCACTTTTAAACTTTCTTTAATTTGGAGACATGTCAGTATATTTTTTCATTTTGTTTCTGGCCTCCAAGTAGTTTACTGAAAAAGTGTTTTTCCTGTTGCATTGTTATTCAATTTTAAAAAGCTTTTTACTATAGTATCTTGGAAATTTTATGTAAATTAAATTTATGTAAATGGACAGATTTTTATTAGTTCGCATTCATATTTACTCTCTGAAAAACTATTACAAACAAGCTTTGCTTTTGTAAGAGCCATACTGTCTTTTTCTTTGATAGATCATGCTTGCTTGCATGCTCAGTAGTCCTATTCTTAAGCTATGTCCTGCCTACTTTCCTGGTATGAAAATTAGAATTCTCCCTGGATCCTTTCATATGAATGGAGGCTACATGGGCACTCTGCCAGTTCTAGAGCATGAGTGACTTTGTAATCAGAGGTTACACATTTTGGGCAGCCTCGCCACAATTTCACCCTTGAATTCCTTTAGGACTCCCAGGTGGGTGCCATATGGTTCTGGTGATTTATTTACACTTCATTTGTCAGTCGGGTTCTCATGCCCTCACTGCAGTTTCAACCCTGACCTCGCTCCTGTCCATCAAGGAGGGCAAGTTGGGAAGGATTTTCATTCTTGAGGACACCACTTGTACTAAGAGTATCATCAACTGGTTCCACTGATTTGGCCCCATTGGAACAAAATAACCTTTGGGGTTGACCTTGGCATTGGCATCTCTCAGGTTTATTTTTGGTCTGATTAGTTTCCTGGTTGTTGTTCCATTTTTATGAGCCATTTCTTTCTCCAGGTTCTCTGTGAAATCTCTATCTGGTCATGCAGGGATGTTTGCTTTCTTGAGGGTCTGCTATTTTAGGTGCTGGCTTCACCCCATCTATCCTGGAATTCTAATACTGTATTTAAAAATAATAGACTGTGACTTTATAAAGTTTTCCTTTTGACGTCCCCTTAATAATCTCGCTCTCTTTCTCTGAAATTTGGCATTCGGGTTTGGGGTGCAGCTTGAGGCAGGAGCAGCACAAGCTGTAGAGAGGGAGTATTGTGCATTCTTACCAAGAGGCCTTTTGGCAATGCAGATGCGGAGCTGAGCATGCTGTCTGAGTCAGGGCAAACTCTGTTTCTGAGGCTTGTGCTCTGAGTCAGGATCTGCACCAAGGACGGCCCAAGGTCGCCAGCCTTGTGAGTATACCCCTGTCTCTGCGTGTGGCCTATGTGCAGGCTTCCTTCCACACGCCATCTCGCTACTGGCCTGACGTGCTTCCTGCGATGAGGCCAGAATCTCTGCAGGACAGACTAAGAGAATGGGCTGAAGTGGCAGCAGGAGAAACTAATTTTGCTGGAAAGTTTCTAAGGAGCCCAATTGGGAAGCTCAAGGAGAAGGTGAAACCTCTTTGGAGATATTTAGAATATCTATCTGTGTGAGCAGGAGATGCAGACCCAAGGGAAGCAAGGGCAGCTAGGGTGGGGGGATAGGAAGGGAGTTCCTAAAGCTTCTAGGCTGAAGCTTCTGCTGATCAGGATCATTTCTCCACTCCAGCAGCAAGTGCCTGACCAGAGTTGTTAAGCTAATTGTTAAATTAGAGTGGCTGGGGAAGCAAATTGCTTCATGATGGGGCTTCTCTGACTGTGTCCAAGGCTGATGTCATCTGGCCTTGTGCCTTGTTGAGGGTGTGGTGTGGGGCGGTGGGCAGGCCTGACACACGTGTTAATGAACCTTCATCCGCTGTAGCAAGCCCTTGCTCCTCGGAGGAGCCCGCATCTTCCATTGAGGGAAAATCACTCCCAACTCCTCTGTGCTTCTGTTTAATGTCCCCAACTCCTGAGTCTTGCAATGATGATATTTTAGATCATTTTCTCTAGAGGTTGTGAACTCAGTTCCCTACAGGGGCCAGACCATTAGCATAAAAGATCATAATGACCCATGTATAGATGATGAGTGGCAGCAATCAGGGACAGTAGGGGTGGTGGGGACTGTGGCAAACTGGAGGGTGGTGTCCCAGCAGCCACTCAGCCCCAGCTGATTGATGCCATGTAGGAATGTGGGCTCCATGTTGCCAGACCTTCCTGCTTCAAGAACAGCGGCAAATATGCACTTTCTTTGTGAAGTGGCCCAGTTTTTAAATGTTGAAGCTAATTAAAAGACATTGTGTTGGTCAGAGTCCATTCACAAGATGAGTTTGTCCTGTGTGCCCCTAGTTTGCAGCTTCTGATTCTGGTTCAAACTCCTCGGTTTACAGATTAGGAAACAGATCCAGAGAAGTTAAGCTTCTGGTCCAAGGTTACAGGGAGTCAGTGAAGGAGTCAGAATCACTACCTGTGGCCTCTAACTCCTGTCTGCTGCTATTCCACTTCTTGGTGCTGGTTTGGGACCAGACATTGTCTGCGCTGGGTCAGGCTGGCCAGAGGAGAGTAGACCTGGGTGGACATGGTTGTGTGATGTCTCATGTCGCATTATTATCCCTCTGCTTTTGTGAGTTGCTGAGCTCAGATGCCCCAGATGGGTGGGAAGGCTCAGGGAAGTCAGGAAGCTTTTGCAGGTAGCAGCAATGCTTAGGGAGAGGAAAAGAGTGGAGAGGATTTAGGCTGCCCCCTGGTTTGGGGCTCCTGAGGACTTAAGGCCATTCATTCCTACTCTTCATTCCTACTCTTTCCCATGCCATGCACATATGCAGGGCCACTCATTCATTCCTACTCTTTCCCATGGCATGCACATATGCAGGGCCACTTCCAAATCCGCATCCTTCCAGTCATTCAGGTGCATAGCTTGGGATCATCCTTAATTGTCCCCGCTCTTCCTCTGGAACTTCTCAGCTCTGAATCCCCTTGCCAGTTCTACCGCCACTCTCCAGTTCAGAAGTTTAATGATACAACATTGGTACTATTGCAATAGGCTTCAAACCTGACTCCCAATCTATTCTCCCCATTACCGTCTGATACGTCTTCCCAAGCACAGTCTTTGAACCTTGGCATGCTCCTGCTCAAAGTAGCTCCCATTGGATAAAGTAGCAACTCCTTAACTTGGCATCCCAGGCTCCAGAGCACCACAGCATTGCTGCCATGGTCATAAGGCTGGCCTGGGTGTGCATCCCAGCTCTGCCACTTATCAACTGTGACATCATGGGCAGTTTTCTTGACTTCTGTGGACCCGTTTGCTTCTTTGTGATAGGGGGTTTTACATAGAATTGTTTCAACGAATAAATGAGATCATGAATGTAAAGCAGTTAGCCTGGCATATACCGACTACTCAAAGGTATTATTCAAGGACCTCTACGCTCTGGCCCCGGTATTACCTGTCCCATAGGCTTAGCTCCAGTGACTTGAACTACTTGGTGATCTCTGTGCCTTTGCTCCTGTTTTTCCATCCTCTAATATTCATCTTTTTGTGGTGCTCCTTTATATATTTTGTGCTGTAGGTATTTGTGTACTTGTCTTGACTTCCTTACTCAACTGTATGTTGTTTGAGGGCAGGACCTGGGTCTGACTCATTCTGTACTATACTAGCATAAGAGACACAAAGTGTTTGTGGAATGGATATTTACCTCAGTGAAACAGCTGCCTAGACTTGGGTTCCATATGAATTAGTTAATTGATAATGTATTTATAATAGCCTCATGGATATTTATTGGGTCCTACTGTGTTTAGGGGCTCAGTGGTAAATGCATCAGGTACAGTCTAGGCCCTGTCGTGTAATGGGGAAACAGGCTGGTAGAGTGGCCATAATGCATGTGGTAAGGATGGTGACAGGGCAGGTACAGGGCTGTGGCTGGGGAGGTACAGGGCTGTGACGGGAGACACTGAGGAGGATATGGGAGCACATAGCAGAGACAACAAACATAGTCCTAACATCTCGAGGGCTTGCTGGAAGAAGAGGTCTTCCACCTGAGACTAGAAAGATGAGTAGAACCTTGACTCAGGTACATAGTAAAATTGCTTTAAGTCTCAGTTTAAAAAATCTTGTTTTATTTGCATTTACTCGCAAGCACTTACAGAAATACTTCCTTAGTACTAGGTTTTCTGAAGTGATCTCTCACTCTCAACCAAGGCAGTTGTTAACATTTGAAGGTTTCTAGGGACTGGGACAAGGGTTGTTGATTGTATTCAACTTTTACCAAGCCAACAGCTGTGGCTGGAGACAGAAAGTTTTCTCTTTTAAGAGCTGGGTGGAAGATTATTCTCTTCTATCTGGGAAAAGATAATCATATACTTTCATGCTGTCAGGGTGGGGCCTATTCTGTTTTTGTTTGTTGCTTGCTTGTTTTGTGGCTTCAGCTGTGTGGATACAGAGCAGGAAGGCTAGAAGCAGGAAGAGGCTGGGGTGTTTTTCTGACCCTACAGATAGTTCTTCTTGGGTCGGGAAGAGAGACTGTAGTAGCAAACATGATCTGCAGCTGCAGAGGAAGCAGAGGGGATTTTTGCATCAAGGACAGACGTGGGGATGAGGAACTGTATACAAGTCAGGAAACTTGATACCAGAGAGAGGAGGCCACAGAAGATAAGGGGTCTCCGTAGACCCTGTACAAAAGAAATGTACAAGAGGAAGACAAATGGATTAAGAATCATTGTGATGGATAATCAGAAAGATTATGAATGATACTTACATGTTTCTTTAAAAGGGATTACTTTTTTGGCTTAATGCTTGTACTCTGTTCTCTTATTTTATTATTTTATTTTTAAAGGTATTAAACTGTGCTGCTTTTTAACCACACCTAACATTTAGGACCCAGAGCCCAAGACATCTACTGCCACCTGGTGGTAGAGTATACCACCTGTGGGATTTGGAATTGATGAGACTACATTGATTGAAAATTGATTCTGCAGTCAAAATATGGAATCATAGAACATAGAGTTGTTGGAGATATTAAAGATTACATAGTTTTTCTTCTAATAAAACCCAACGTCTTTTTATATAAGTATTTTAGTTGAATGCCTCCAATGACAGAGAGCTCATGATCTGGCCTGACAGGCTATTTTGTCTTTCATTCTTGTTAGTTAGAATGTTTTTTCTTTTTATTTATTTTTAAATAGAAAAGTCACTTGTATTTATTTGTCTTCATGTTTACCTCTGGAAAAAACTCACAAGTTTAGTGATTCATCTATATAATAAGCTTTCAAATATTTGCAGGAACGTGTTTGTTTCCCCATAATCTTTTTGTCTTCAGGTTAAACAGTCATAGTTCCATATTTATTATTCTGATGTCATGCTTCTCAGAATCCCCATAGCATTTCTTTCCTCTAGTTGCATTCTATGTTGCCAGTGTTCCTGCTGCCAGAATTGGATCCAACCCATTGTTCCAGACAAGATCAGGTTAGTGAACTCTAGTACTTGCAGGCTGTCTGAACACGAAACTTCTAACACCTTCTGTATAGTATGAGTTAGCTTTCTGTAGCCTTTCCACAATGCTGACTCCTCTTAGGTTTGTGGTAACTGAAAGCCCAAGAATTTGTATCCTTTCCCACACTGTAAAACTTTTTTTTAAAAAGCTAAAAGCAAGGCTGTACTTTAGAAAGAAAGCTTAATGACACAAGTTTAACACAAATACATTCTAAATTTCAGAGGTTACTCGTAAAGCCAAAGCCTTTTTGAACTCCATACCAACTCAGTTTCTCTTTGGAGGTAGATCCTGGTATTAGTTATTAGGGGTCCTTCCAGATCTTTCTGTGCATTTACATAGATAGATAGATAGATATCATCAGAAATGTGTAAATTGTGTATGTGTGTTTGAGGTTAACATATCATTTTGCAAGTTTTCTGCATGCAGCATGTCCTGGAAATCTTCTGCATAGTGTATTTCACAGTGTGGATATTCCATAGTTTTCTTAGCAATTCTTCGATTATTTCTGGTGTTTAAAATCATCATAAACAGCGTCTCCTTGTACACATGTACAAGTGCTTCTCTAGGGTAGATACAAAAGACTGGGTGAGTGATACATATATGTTTATTTTAAAATGTAGATCTCAGACATGAAATTTGCCCTTGTTAATTTTGACCTAGTGTTCGAATCTGCCCAGATAATTTTATGTCTTGATTTTGATCATCTATTATAATATTAAGCCCACTATACCAGTTTTGCCCATAGTATAAGCATATCTTTGATCTCCTGATCTAAGGAAACGATTGTTTTAAAAGTCAAACACAACAATTAAGGGAGGAGCTCTGTGGCCATTACCAGAG
Source organism: Homo sapiens (assembly GCF_000001405.40). Taxonomy (NCBI): domain Eukaryota; kingdom Metazoa; phylum Chordata; class Mammalia; order Primates; family Hominidae; genus Homo; species Homo sapiens. The sequence continues at coordinate 124,080,961 of NC_000003.12, forward strand.
ACCTGCATTCCACCTAAAGCTCACTGTATGCTCCTAACAAACACTTTGGTCCATGCAGTTTATCTACAGCAATTCTACCCAACTATACGCTCATCCCATTCATTTTTTACCATCTCATATACAAGAGTTTCATGGAGGACATTTGTAAAAGGCTTAGCAGAAATCCAGACTCACCTTCTATGACATTCTCCTGTCTACTGTAGCGGGACTGTCATGGAGGGAAATGAGAACGGCACACGTTGCTCCTGGGCATCTGTTATTTAAAATAGATCCTGGTAACACTTTAATGAGCAATGTGTTTATGTACCTCCATGCAAGAGTGTATTCAGTCTCAAAGATATCAAGAAAAAATAAGCTGTCCACTCCCAGTTGCCTGTCTTACCTATATGTTCTCAGTCTAGTTGGTCTCCCAGGGAAACTGTCTGATGGCTGAGACATAGCTGCTTTAGTGAAAAGCTCATGGGTTATATTTCTAATGTTATTCAGGCTAATTTGTCCCACCCTATCAAAACATAAAAGAGGTAAAGGGGCCGGGCACAGTGGCTCACGCCTGTAATCCCAGCTCTTTGGGAGGCTGAAACAGGCAGATCGCTTGAACCTAGGAGTTCAAGACCAGGCTGGGCAACATAGGGAGATGTTGTTTCTACTAAAAATACAAAAATTAGCTGGATGTGGTGGCACACACCTGTAGTCCAGCTACTCAGGAGGCCGAGGTGGGAGGATCCCTTGAGCCTGAAAGTGAGCCAAGATCAAGCCACTGCACTCCAGCCTGGGTGACAGAATGAGGCCCTGTCTCAGAAAAAACAAGCAAACAAAAAACAACTTCAAAAACAAACAAACAAAAAACAGCGGTATACTCACACAGACATCCACAGGCTTAGTGCATGTATGTGTGCATTGACATGTAGTCATCCTCACAAAGTTGTCTCTGTAAACATGGTTAAAGGACTTTCCCTGAGTCACAGCCTTACTGGCTTACTTTGCATCATCATAAAAAGAATAGAAATGATAAGCAGGTTAATTTCTAACTTACTTTTATCTAGCTTAGAAATTTGTTATAAGACATGCCACAGATGACCCTCAAAATGGTAGTGAAGATGAGACTGTGGTCCAGGGGTTCTGGGTAGGTGGTGGAGCATGGAGGCAGTGTAGCTGTCCCTGGATGCCCAGCTGCAATTGCATCAGGCTGCATGGCTTCCCGGGCTGGGGTTTGGCAGCACCATTGCCCTTCTGTAGGTAGCCAGGCTTAGATTCTTCATTGAGGAAAAGTTCTTGTGTTTCCTCATTTTTAGGGCAACTAGTATGGAAAACATAACCTCAAGTATCTTTGATGTAATCTCCAAGGGAAAAGTTGCTCCAACTTTTTCTTACTGTAAGTAGAAATTCTGTTTCCTATTTTTTCCTTCAATGGGCCTGAGCTATGGAAGGCTCTGGCAAAGCTACAACCAAGTAATTCTTCTCCAGAATCCCACAGCTGGCTTTATTTGGGGGGTGAGGTGGTGGTGGTGCCAGTTCTGCTTCAGAAAATTAGAAGAAACAACAAATACTCCTCTAACAAACCTAAAAAACATAGTGAGGAATGCAGAAGGGAAGTGATACCAAATGAGTGAATTGTGCCCCTTTTGCAATCTGCAGTGTCCCTTTACTCTGGGCACTATGTTAGGTGCTCGGTGCTTATGGAAGGCAGCAGTGGGGTGGGATATAAACTATATGATCATGACAAACAATGACTTCGGTTCAGAGGAGTTTACAGTGTGGTAAAAATAGTATGCAGACAACATGAACGCAATGAACTAACCAGTGTTTCTCTTGAAAGAGTTAGACTGATGCTTGGGTAAATAAACCACCCTTATAAAGAAGAGTCCACCTTTTATTTTTCATCAGTGCAAAGCTACATTAATTCTTCACATGCAGGCATGATAAACAGAATCAAAGCTTCTGCTGCTTGTTTCCAGTTAAACAGACCTATCCTAGGTAAACCTGTATTCCTCTCTGAGAGCACCCCTTCCTTCTGGTACTTGGTTGACCTCCTGCCTTGGGCAGGGTTACACCCACCTCCACTTTTTTCTTGAGTTACTGCTAGAAGGGAGAAACTCTGTGAGCTCTTGGAGAGCAGCCTTGGTGTTCTGTTCCTTCATGTATTTCCAGGTATAGTCTAGGGTGTGACATCTTGTAGGCACTTAGTAAATGCTTGTTGAGTGAATGAAAGCTGCCCTTCATCTATTCCCCTTTCATTTATTCAGCACATATTTATTGAGTGACTTCTGTGTGCCAGGCGCTAGGGATACACCAATGAACAGGACCTGGGTGGGAAGACAGATGATAATATGGGGACATTAATATGGTGTTGAAAAAGTACAAGATGTGGTGGGTGCAGATGCAGGGATGGCTGGTCCAGCTGAGTTGGCCAGGAAGGCTTCCTGGAGACCTGAAGAATTAACACAGATAGCTAGATGAAGGCAGGATGGGAAACAGTGTTCCAAGCCTAGGAAGAGCATATGCAGGGATCCAAAGGGAAGAGATAGCTTAGCATGGAAACGTGAAGGCTGACAACATAATGATAATCATAAACACATATATAATGCTTTCTGTGTGCCAGATATTATTCTAAGCCCCTTACATTTATGAAGTTATTTAAATACTATTATCATCCCCATTTTACAGAAAACGGAGGCACAAAGAAGTTTAGTAATTTGCCCGATCTTACACAACTGTTAGAATTGGCATTTGAAGGGAGTTGGCTGCGGAGCCTTAGTGGTGACAAAACAATTACTATGCCTGTGTGTGTAGCACTGATTCCCAGTGAGAATCCTGGCATGCTGTTAGACGTGCATGGGCCTTGTGGTAACAATCAACTTGGAAATTGTCTTGTTAAGACTGACAGAACTTCTGGCATATCCTAATTGTTGACTCTGTCTTTGTCAGGCAGACGATGAGATTCCTTGCCTCAGTGGATGGTTTTGTTATGTCTCATCCTATGTGAACAGGCTGCAGGGAGGTTGTCCCTGACCTCCTAGCGAGAAGGGACTTGGGACTCAAACAACAGTTTAACTGTGGATGACCAAATCACATTTTCCACAGTAGATTCCCATCCCTAAATGGGGAGAAGGAGAAAGGAAAATGGTTTAAAGATCAATACCCAGAAATGGCCGACCTCTGCTGGTGCTCCGCCACTGTGTGTGGTTGTTGGAGCTACAGGCTGTGAGGAAGAATAGTTTGGTTGATTGCCAACTTGGCCCCGAGGGAGTAGGCCTGAAAGGGGGTTAAGGCATTGGTTCTGCTTTCTTTCCTTCCAGTTTGTAAATGGTAATCCAACCCCACGTCTTTAGTGCACAGGTGTTGTGCAGCCCCTCCCTGTGACAGGTCATGGTGGCTGGGCCTTGGCCTCTGCCTTCCGAATTCCCAACTTTGCCCCAAGCTTCAGTATGACCACTTCCTCTGAATCCCTGTTGCTGCTACAGTCAGATCCAGCACGGAGGGGTATCCTCAGCAGCCTCCTCACTGCCTGTTGCCACTTGCTCAGGAAAAGCACATGAGCTGCACATCAGTGTTTGGAAAAATTAATGCTTTCAAGATGAGCTCCATACAGTTTTAGCACATCTGTCTCTTTCACCAGCTGAAAGAAGGAAGCATGTTTAGACAATTACTCCCCAAGGGAGCCCAAGTACTAGCTTTGTTTATTGAGTGTTTTTAGTTACAACACGTGAAGTTCTGGGATTTTTTTGGCTTTGGCTTCTTTTTTCTGTTTTTGGTTATGGGAATATGAGTGGATTGCCAATTAACAGGGCACTTGGAGGTTTCAAAATTGTGAAAGGCATGTTTCTTACATGGGCACAATTGCTGAGTCTTTGGGATAAGGAACTCCATTAGACATGACAGATGGAATCCAGGCTCAGGGCTTACCTCAGACCAGCAGTGCAACCAGATGTTCAGAGTCTTCCATATGCAGCTGTTTGGAGCCACAGCTCCACCTGTGAGGGCCCCCTTCCCCTCCCTCAGACACCCCACATCTTCACAGTCTTCTGATAGACGTACCATGTAACGACACAGTCACAGTCAGCTTTCACCTTACTTTACCCTGTGCCACCTCCCACCACCTTCAGCTTCCCCCACCTGATGCATAAAACTCTTAAGTAGAGATGGCAGGTTTTAAAGCTTGAGGTTTGGGGAGTCAGAGCCCATTGTACAAGGGCAGGGATGGCTGACTTGAAAGCTAGTGTATCACAGTTCTTCCTGCCTTGTCCTTGGCAGACATCACTAATTGATGGCACCATTCTTTCCCCATCCATCCTGTAAGTAGCCGCATAATCTTCAACACAAAGCTCTGGACAGTCACTGCCCCTTGGTTAGAGCTGGAACTTGAGATGAAACATAGTTTCCATTGCTGACCAAAGTCCCATAAGGTGTCTAAGTGGCTGACAAATGAATGATCTGAGAGGAGTTGAGGTTCTTCCTGAATGCTTGTTATGGAGAACCCATCCTGACTCTTGTGGTAAATAAGGGATGTGGAACAAAGTGGGGAATGAATAGCATTTTCTCATGATATAGTGATAGAACTCCATCTGCCAGCCACTTGAACAGGTGGATAAGTCGGGTGAATTTTTTACTGTGACCTGTGGGTTCTCTGAAGACCATTTCACATTCTAGACCTTATGAGTAGGGGGTAGAGAAGGAAATTGCTGCCATGGTCCTGAGGGAGCACCTCCTTTTTCAGAAAAGATTTGAGCCACTACTTTAGTAGCAGCTTCAATATTTAAATGCTTTGAAAATTACCAGAGTAACAAGTGCTTATAGTAAAAAAATTATAACAACATAAAATTTTACAAAACACAATTCTCTACCTTTCTTCATTCTTCAGGGATAACTACTGTTAATAGTTTGGTATATGTATATCCTACTAGAACTCTTCTAGGCATAGTGAAATACATATTGATAGTGTGTATGTATATATTTATATGTCTATTTTCACAAAAAGTGGGATAATACAAATTGTTTCCAATTATTTCGCAAATCATATCCTTTCATTCAATAATAGATCATGGAACCCTTTCATGTTACTACATATAAAACTGCTTGCTCTTGTTAATGGTTTCTAAGTATAATGTAGGCTGTGTCATAGTTTATCTTATTAGTTCCTTATTGTGGGACATTTAGGTTTTTTCTTTCCTTTTTTTTTCTGTTATAGAATACACTGCAATGTGTGTATAAGTACAGATATTTCAGTAGGTGAGAATCTTAGAAGAATTGCTAGGTTGAAGGCTACATGCTTTAGAAATGTTGATTGTACTGCCAAATTGACTTATAAGAATATTATATCAATTTAGTCTCCTACTAGGTTGGTTGTTTTGTTGTGTGTGTGTGTGTGTGTGTGTGTGTGTGTGTGTGTGTGTGTGTTTTTGCTGGGGGAAATCTTGTAGGTAAAATGTGGCATGCTGTTATTGCTTACTTAACATTTCCCTGATCATTAGTAATGGTCAGCATCTTTTTACTTTTTATCAGTCATTTATATTTCCTTATCTGTGGGTTGCCTGTTCATAATCTTTACTTATTTTTATACCATGTTGTTAACTTTTTCTTAATGGTTTCTAGGAACTTTTTGTAAATTAGAGATATTAACCCTTTGTATAATTTATTGTTGCAAACATGGCAAATATTTACTTCCTGCATTATCTTTTAACATTCATGTTTTTGCAACTTTATCTACTATTTTATTCTCTGAGGACTTAAAATATATGAAAATATAATGTACTCACAGTGTTCAAAAATTAGTACAAAATAAATAGGTCTTTATATGACCCCTATACCTGTCTACCAAGCCACTTTTCCCATAGGTAACCATCAGTATTAGTTTCTCGGGAACCCTCCCAGTATCTCTTTTTGTAAATATAAGCAAATCAGAATTCATACCTAAGTTATCCCTTTCTGATCAACAGCAGGTGAATACTAACTATCCTGCTCTATGCCTTGCGTTTTTAACCCAACAGTATGTCTTGAAGATCTTTTCATATCAATTCACAGAAAGCCTCATCATTCTTTATTCATAGCTGCATAGTGTTTCTTTGTGAAAGTATACTGTCATTCAGTGGGCATCAGATTTTTTTTGCTTCTGTATGCTCTAAAAGAATATTGAAACCTTTATGCCCCTTCATGCATTTTAGTGGATACCTAAACATTTTTTTACCATGAGTCTAAATGGTTGCAAATAATAAATTTTCTAGCATGTTGCATATTATAATAGGCTTTAAACGTATTTTCTTCAAAATCTTGGAGCTACAGATTTATATGAATTGGGAAAGGCAAATCTGATTGTCAAAGCAAGTAGCCAAATTAGACATACTTACTTCCTGTCAGAGAAAGTCTAATTTCTTTTTATAATTCAAGCAAGCATGTTAATTAGGCACCCTCTGTGACAACCCCATCTTCAGAATTCTAAGAGTAGAGAGGAAGCTATTAATAAATAGATGTGGTTCTGAGACTAACCATGCTTTTTGTCTTCTAGATGAAAGAAGGCACAATCATTTTCAACATCTCCTTGGCGATCTCATCGAATCATGGGGCTTTACCTTGCTCTGCATGCACCAATGACTCTGTTTTGTTACCTGTTACACTGTAACAAACCACCCTAAATCTTAGTGACTTAGAACATCAATTTATCATTCTCATAATTGTGGGGCTTACCAGGCAGTTCTTCTGCTCCATGTGGTGTCTTTTGGGGTGCTGGGATAGCTGGCAGCTCCAGGGTAGGCTTCCTCTGGTGGCTGGGAGGGGGCTGGGACTAGCTGGGGGTCTCAACCAGCATCTGTAGTTCTCTTCCACATGGCCTTTCCATGTAGCTTAGCCTTCTCACAACAAAGCAGCTAGATGCCAAGAACAGTTGTATCTATTATTGACTCCATTATTTTGAAACGTCTTTTAAAGAGTTAGGTGATACAGTTCAAGAGTCAAAATTCAAAATGTGTAAGATGAGTTACAGTAAAATGTTGTCCTTCTACTACTGTTGCTCAGACTCCTGTTCTCCTTTGGTGATTTGTATATCCTTCAAAAAAATTTTAAAAATATGTATATAAGCCAATATACTGAGTTTTGTGTCTTGCTTAGGAAAACCATCCCACCCTAAGACTATAAAAATTTTTCTTCTTGAAGTTTTATAGTTTTTTTTTTCCCCATGGGTATCATGATGTGAGGCCAGGATTGGTGGACTTTTCGGGATGCCAAATAATTGTTGTTCACTATGCGGATGGTCCATCAGGAACTTCGTAGTTTCTTTTTTCCTCAGTGCCGAGGGTCATCCACATGTGTCACAAGGTATAGTCAAAACAGTTTTCATAATTGAATCTCCAGTGGAACTTTCCAACCTGTGTCAGAAAGAGGAGATCAGATGAGTTGGGGCAGCTGGACATTTTCATTTCCCTAGTGAGGGAAGGAGAGTGTCACAGGAATTAGAGGAATCATAAGCTCTAAGAATCTGCCCCCTCCTGAAGGGCAGGTAGAGAAGCCTGGGAAACTTGGAGTAGTGACTTGACTTTAACTCTGGTCCCATGAATTGAGAATTTCAATGTGACCTGAGCTTGTTTTTGTTGCAGGAGAATGCACTAACCTTTATGAAGTATCCACTATGTATTAAGTGTAGTGCTTTGGATTTTATATGCTATTTTGTTTTTTCCTCATGAAAAGTTCAAGTTTTATGGGATTAGTCTTATCTCCATCCAAAAGATGAAGAAACTGAGATGTGGGAAGTTATTCTAAAGCCTCAGCCCTTTCCCAGTACCTCGAAGGCTTGCAAATTAATGGTACAAAAGGTATAAAAAGGTTTATAGAATTTATGAGACTCAATTATTTTTAAGAACCATAAGCAGCATTCATTTGTTGAAAAGTAAAGTGATCTTCGCAACTAGTTTTTTTTTTCTTTTTGAAAATAAGAGCCAAGGAAGAGAATATTCAAATTGGCTAGTGTGCAAGTAATTTCATTATCCAGCTTGATGTGTATGTAGGGAGCCAGGGCATTCAGGTGAGTCAGATATTCTGATTTAACAGTGGGTGGCCCTGTGGAACACACACAGATTGTATACTTTCCATAAAAAGAAAAAAAAATACCCGAGGGACTAAAGCAAAAAAGGGACTAAGTAGAAAAAAAAATGTTGAGCTCTAGATATGTGCTAACCAAAATTTAGCATTTATTTGACAATACAGGGGTTTCCTTTTGATATGGTTGAACTTCACATTCATTATTATCAATCCTAGTCCTATGGTATGGTGCCTGATTTTACTGGGCAGACCTGCTGAGGGGGGCTATCTGGAAAAGTTCCTGGAGGGGATGGAGAAGGGCATGGGATGGAGAGAGCAGGTAGAGGTTCACAGGAGGGCTCTGCCTGGGCTGAGGAGTGAGGCTTCAGCTGTGGTAACTGGCAACTTAGCTTCCTGATTCTCTGATGGTGACCTCAGGGACTGAGAGATGTGAGGAACATTTAAGAGAAGCCAAACCTCCTGGGGGGTGAACGGCCTCCTGTTGGCCATGAAGTAACACCATCTCCTTTGATAGGCAGAGAAATGGCTCTTGGTGGAAATGAGATGGAGGAACTGCATGACTGGCTGCGAGGGAAACAGAGGAGGTAACAGTGAACTCTGGATTGCAGAGGCCTCATGGATCAGTTCTGAGAGGGTCTCTCCAAATATTTCCAGCTTTTTTTTTTTTCAGGAAGAATTCCTTTGCAATGTAGGTGCCTTGGGGAAGGCAGCCAACCAGGTGTTCATGCTGAGTAGGAAATGGGAGGTCAGGGCAGTGAGGGAGGATGGAAGGTGCACCAGCTTCTGTGATTGACTTCATCAGGATGGCCTCACAGGGACATGCCTGTGAAGACCTAGGGAAGGGAGTCATGGACTCTGCTCCCTGACTGCAGATATCCACCCCCACCACTGCTTACCTAAGGCCTGCCCTCCTCTATGCCTTCCTTTGACCTAGGCTTTATCTTTTGCCAAGATAGGAATATTTCCTGAGGGCCTAAATATTAAGCTCTCATCATAAATACCTTGGATGGGATGAGGTTGTCATGGTACTTTTCACAGGACCTAGTGGAGAGGGCATGGGGCCCAGGGTAGACGAGCTTTATAAGGTCCTGAAGGAGGAGAGGGGACTGGCTCTTGTGTGGGCAGTGGGGGGTACTGGGGTGACATGCTGTGTTAGAGATTCAGTGCAACATGGGGGTTCTATTGACTGCTGGGGGAACTAGAAGCCCCCAGAGAAGGGGTAGGGAGGGATCAGGTTTTCACCACTTAACAAGGTGGTTTAGAGCCCAGGGCAGTGAAAGGTTGTCTTCCATGAGCTGGGCATGCCTCAGCCAAGGCAGAGTTAAAGATCCTCAGCAGAGGTCGGAGGTGAGCAAGATGAAAGCTACACAAAAGCTGAGGCAAGGAGGAATAATTAGCTTCTGCCTTTCCCTCCTGCTGCCTGGCCTGATATTTGAGGTGACATTTAAAGCCATTGTACAGATGTGCAGTGGAACTGTGGCAGAACGAAGGCTTTCTGGAGCCTGTGGAGAGATGAGGCTGATTTCTCAGCCTCCTGGGTGGCAGCTTCTCACCCCTCCATGTGGGGCCCTCTACTGGGCCTTGAGAGGAGAGAGGCCCCTCTGCCTTCCAGGTGAGCATACTCTAATGGGGGACTCAGAATCTCCCTCCCTATTGGACTCTCAGGGTGTTGGGGGAGGTGGGGTACGCACTAGAATTCAAGATAGTGACACGAAGCTGGTGCTGAGGGTAGGAGAGGAGAGCACGGACTGAAGCGGATGGATCACCATTGCAGAATTCTCTGGGGAGCTTGTTAAAAATGCAGGCCTCTGGGAGTGAGGCCTTGTTATCTGTATGGATAACCAACCGTCTAAGGTGATTCTGCTGCCCATTAAACTTTGAGAACCTCTGAGATAGAGAATGTGTGAGGTTAGCTGGAAAGGGCCTCTTGGGAGGGTGGACTTGAATTTCAGTGTCTAGATGATACTTACTTGCTGTAGATACTGTCCTCAGGTGTGGACCTAAGAAGCCCGTTCACCTGGGGACACTAAGCTGTCATGGGAGAGACTGGCAGGGGTCCAACCCACCCTTGAAATGGTATCCCTGGGAATGTGTTGCCACGGGTTCCACTCCACCACTTGGGCGCTAATCGCCAAGGGGACAGAAGTGGTGTGGGAGGTGACTGAGGATGCTGTCTGCTGGAGTGTTTGATTCATGTTACAACTGAAGCACAGCTTGCAGGTCAAAATGGTAGCCGGGTGGAGCCCGCTTGTTGGGGCAGGGTGAGGGAGATCAGTATGTCTGTGGACGGTCTTCACTTTGGTTTGCAGATACCAGCAACTATGCTACCTCCTGTATTGCCTTCACTTGCCAGATAGGTCCATGTGTCTGAGGAGTTGGGCCAGTGCTGCTGAGGGGACAGTGGCCATTGTCGTCCCAGGAGATGAGTGGGAAAGATTTGGGATATGGTTGGATCTCTCCTCCCTCCGTGCTGCTTGCCTTCTGCTCTATACACTTGTGCTGGCTTTATCTGATTGGGAACACAGTGTTTTCAAGTTGGGGTGGGTGAAGAGAGGGAGAAAGAACAGTGCCAAGGAAAGAAGAAGGAACATCGAAGAGAAAGGAACACATCCATGTTGTGATATCAAATAACTGCTGAACATCCGGATGGGCATCAGCCCTCTGGAGTGGATGGGCTGTTGCTGGCCTGGTGTCACTGCCTGTCCCTGGAAAACATGTCTCTGTAGCCAGCTGGGTGGGCTGGAGGAAACACGTGAATGGGAATAGTTGTGCTTGCTTTGACCATGATGAAAGAAGGAGCCACTGTGGAAGCATTGTATAAGACAAAACAAAAACAACAACAAAAACCTACTAATAAGGCTGTGTCCTGGCCAATATCCTTTCTAATTGCACTGCAGTTAAATGGCAATGCTGACAGTCTCTTGGAACATTTTATTCAACTTCTGGAGGGGCTGCATTTCAAGTAAGACTTATGAGGCTCTGTGGGAGATGGAGAAATGAGCAGTGGTGGGCTGGGGAGCTCCAAGGAGCCCAGCCTGATGGGTTGAAGCCAATCTTGAGTAAAACTCCAGGCTGAATGGGTTCACCCTGGGGCTGACCCAATGGGCATTGCTTATGTTCTTAGGTCTGTTTGCGGGGGAAGTGCTTGCACCCATATTATTCTTGACAGTCTTTATTCCCATTTTCTCTGCAAATGAGACTGTGTGGAATGTTTTGCCCTTGATTACTGGAGGGAGGGGAACAGAGCCAGCTTCTTTCTCCAGCCCCAAGAATGAGGCTTGTAGCACTAGCACCATTAGAGCACTCTCTGGGACTTTCTGCCTCACAGTCAGATGCTCTTCCCCTGCCCCTCTCTGTCTAGGTCTCCTGCCATGATGCGAGCCTCCCGTTTCAGATTTCTCCCAAGTTGTGTTAGAAAAAGCCTTTTTGGCATTCTTACTTGGAGATGCACTCTCTCTGCAGTTATAAGTCAGGGGCCAAAGAAAAAGATGAAAAGCCCTTAGTTAATAAGTGGCCACATTTGGACCCTCCACTCAACCTGTGCCCATGGCATGTCAGCACTGCCCTGGAGGGGCCTCCCTCAGGGTTCCTGTTAGGAAACAGCAGTGTTTCCCCAGGTCCTGCCCTACTGTGAGGGCTCCCGTATCTCAGTGAAACGTGTCACAATTTCCCAGAGAATCTCTTAGTGCCCCAGAAACTCTCAGGGAGGAGACAGATGGGCACCTACGAGTTATCTGACCTTAAACAAGTTATTTAATCTTTTGGAACATGGATTTTCTCTTCTGTATACTGGAGAAAGTGATTCCCATCCTACAGACCTTGCAGGGCAAACAGGAGATGATAGTTATGAAAGTACTTTGTGAACGAAAAAGTACTGGCCACATGTGAGCGATGGATTCTTGTTACTCGTGAAGGGAGAAACACCGGGTTACTTCTCTCTGGAGGGAGGAGGAGGGGTTTGCATTCTTGTGTTAACTACACACTGGAGTCTTGTCCATTTAAGGTAATAAGAAAATAATGCTAACAGAGCCTGAGAGGTAGCTTCTTGGGTGGTGATGTCTCTGCCGAGACCCAATGCTGCCGTTTAAGAAGAAACCACAAGGCAGTTGGGGGGCAGGGGCAGGCGGTGGAGGTTGTGACTCTGCTTGCTTTCTCCCTCTCCCTCCTTGCTCCTACCCCCTGGACGTGCCTCCTCCCCAGTCTGAGTTCTTCAGAAATCTGCACCCTCTCTCATCTTGGAGGTATAAGTTCCAAGGAAGAGCTGGTGCTGAGGGAGACATGCCTCCAGTTGCCTGATGGAGACCAGGAGGCCTGGGAGACCACCATTCTGTTAGGACAGTGAGAAGGCATTGCTGGCATGGCCTAGGCTGCACAGAGCTGTGATGAATGTGCAGATGGCTGTTGGGTAGTTTTTAGGCTTGGAGAACAAGGTCATCCTAGACCTGGGGACTCCTCAGGTTTCATTTCAGTGAATAGCACTCCCAGTCACCTGGGTCACAGGCTGGCCCACTGTAAGAGGGGCTGTGATTGGGCAAGGACTGGGCACCCCGTCATGCCCCAAAGGCCTTAGACAATGCCCAGGGGCTGAGGTCTCTGCAGCTTACTTTTCTCCTTGCCTTGAAAATAACATTGTATCAGGGACTCAGATGCCCTTGCATGTTCATTTGTCTAGTTAGTAATCACTCGAGTAACTGCGAAGTTCAGGGTTCTTTGAGGGACACAAAGATGGAGTTTATGGGCAAGTAAGGGAGAAGAGTCATATACAAAGGAGAAGGTGGAATGAAAAAAATAAAATATAAAGGAAGGAAGATCAGGGAAGTCTGCCTGGATTCTGTGGCATTTGAGTTATTTGTTGGAAAAATTAGGCGGATTTGGCCATGATGAGGTGGAGAGTGGGGAGAGCATCCTATTGGCAGGAAGGGCAGGAGCAAAGTCCTGGGGATAGAAAACCGTGGGATGTATGAATGTGTGGGGAACTGAGAGTCTGGCAAGAGGGAGAGGGGTTGAGAGGTAAGGGAGAACCTTCTATCTACCAGTATCTACCAGGTGCAACACCAGAAACATTATATTCTTCTTTTGCTTTGAGGCTCACAAATACTGTTCTCTCTGGTTTACAGAGGAGGAAGCTGAGGCACATGGAGCTGAAAAACTTGATCCAGGCCAGGCAAGTATTAAGTGGCAACCAGGATTTGGACCCATGACTGTGTGACTTCAAAGCCCATGCTGTCTCTACTATAACAAAGGTTCCATGAAGGGACGTAGGGAAAAAGGATCTGTGGCCTTTTACCAGTCATGCAGGTCCTGCAGTCTTGGGCAAGGAGAGCCAGTGGTCCCTACAGTGAGGCAGTGAGGCAGTAACGCTCCCAGGCTCCTGGACTGGCCTCAAAGTCCAAAATGGCCGAGCTTCTGGCTTCCCATCCCATATTCTATTGGAGGAGCCACTGGCCTCTGGTGTGGGAGGTATGGAGGCCAGGATGGCAGGAGATGCTGGAAAAAATTTAAGACATGGACTTGACTGTGGATTTTCATTCTCAAGACCACTGCAAACCTCGCGTCTTTGCGAAAACCCTTCCTGACTCCCTCCCACGCATCTCCGACCTCCCCTTGGGTCCAGGCAGGCTCGGTCTGCACACGGCGTTGTTCTGCACTTGTTCCTTTGTTGCTGTGAAACCGGCTCCCGGCACAGTCAGCCTCTGTGTGGGAGGACTGGTGGCTGTCTTTGCAGGCAGGCATTTGCTTAGAGCAGGCTGTGTGCGAGCCCAGCGTCAAGTGATTCCGGCCTCCTCGAGTCAGCGGTGGTGGGATGAGGCTCTGCCGAGGGGACTGGCTGTGAAGGATGAGTTCAGGGTGGGATGACGGACCGCTTCTGGGACCAGTGGTATCTCTGGTATCTCCGCTTGCTCCGGCTGCTGGATCGAGGTATCCTGAGTGTGTGTATGCTTGTATGAGAGACTGAGAGAGATAAATACACATAGAGACATAAAGAGACATGCAGAAAGACACAGCAGAGAGGGGAGGGGGGTCAAGAAGAGAGAGAAGGAATGAAACAGAGGCAAGTAGCAAACCCATGGAAAGTAAAGAAAGGCTGTTTTTCTGGGGACATGTATGACCCAGCTGGGAATCGGGAGCACAGGGTCATTTGGGGAGCATCTGTATAACAGGATCTCATTTCTTGCTGGGTTTTTCATCAAGCTCAGTACTCTAGTCAAATACAAGTTAAGCCCTGTCTTGCAGGGCTCTTGATAGAACTCTCTGAGAAGCAGTGCAGAAGGAGAATGATTCCTGCAGTAAGAAGCTGGGGGCAAACAGACTCAGGCTCAAGTCTCAGCTCTGCCACTGACCTTAGCCTGATTTATGTGACTTTTCTGAGCTTGTTTACCCATCTATAAAATGGGCACAGTAAGACCTATGTGCTGAGGTTGCTCTGGAGCTATTATTTAATTCATACATGTAAAATATATAACATCATATATGGTGCACACAGTAGGTGCTTAGTAAATACTGAGTTCCTCCCTATGCACCTCTTAGCTTCACAGAACTATTACTACCTATCCTGAGGATAGCTCCCTTTTTTGATTATCTACAGATACAGCCGGTACAGAATTTGCAGTTAGTGGAAAGAAAAGAGAAAATCAGTTTTATTTCTCAGGTTAATCTGACCTTAATACATTTTATCAAATATTAATGCAATTAAAGTCTTCTGATAATGTGACACAAATCCAGATGTTCTTTTGTAAGGAAAAGCCACTGTGAACTTGTTTGGTAATTGATTTTTTAAAATGTTGAATATTATTTTTAAAAGCTTTGGCTTCTTTAAGAGGTTTTGGCAAGAATGAGATCAAACTCCTGATGGAAAAGATGGCCCTGGGGAAGCCTTGCTATACAGCCCAAGGTGTATTCATCTCTGTGAGGAATAGTCTTGGTGTGCCGGGAGATCAATACCAGGTGGAAGCAGACAGCTGCACAGAGCAGGTGAAACAGGGCCCTTATCAGGGGAGAAATCAAAGATGGAGGAAACCAAACCAGCACACACTAAAAGCAGTTTCTCACTAGCACCGAGAAACAGGCCAGTGGGAGCCCAGACTTGAGATGAGGGCGTTAAGAAGGGCATCAGAACTTCACACTGATGAAGATTATAGACTGGGAGAAGGGAGAAGAGACCACTAGATGTGAATCCTCCTTATCTTTGTGACCTCAGGCAAGTTGCTTAACCTCTCTGTATCTTCTTTCCTTCATTCGTAAAAAGGGGTGATGATGATAATGGTAGTACCAACTCAGAGGGTTGCCGTAGGGGCTAAGTGAGAAACTACAAGTGAAATACTTATCCCAGTGCATGGCACAAACAAAGTACTCTTTAAATGGTAGTTTTCATTACCAAGGCAGTTAATTCTCACTCTCCAACAAACATCCTGGGAAAGACAGGAACAGGTGGTATATAATAACCGGGAACTAAGAAAAGTCCAATTAAGAATGGTTAGAGGCTTAGAGACAATTTATACTTACATGAATTTAAACAAGATTCACACTACCATATGATGCTAATTATAAGAAGAAACTAGATGTTAATGTATAAGCTATAATACTACCAATTTATTTTTATCTTTTAGAAATGCTTGAATCCATGAGTCACAAACTTAGGCTCAAGTTCTGGCTCCATTGCCTTCTAAGTGCCCTTGAATAAATGGCTAAGGGTAAGGACTTAAAACATAAAGGGTCTTGTTTTCTAGGGCTATACTTAACCAAATTCTCAGTTTGTTAATCTTAAAAATTGGAATATTAATAATAATGCCTACATCATAGAATTTGGGGGAAATTTATTGTGTTAGTGCATATACAGTGTCAGGCGTTTTGGAAATGTCAGGTTAATGAATTTATGGGTTGATAGATTAACCTGTCACCTTGGATAGCAAAAGCTGGTTGCAAGAATTATGTGGTCTTCCATGCACGTTTGATCACCACATATGGCTGTAATTTGAAAGTTTATGTGTATTTCTATCTATAGGGTTTTCCTTAATGTGAAGTTTTAGACCAGTAGCTCTTGACTGTGTAGGGTGTCTGATTTCCAGGTGTTTGGAGGTTGGGTGTTGATTATGTTGCCCAGTTCTGGTTAATCAGTATTAAAGTATTACACATGTGTGCATACCCACATCCATATTCAAAAAGAATTTTCAGTTATAGCAACTTTCCTCTTGTAACGAATGTTACCTAACATTGCATAGAAAATGGCATGCTTTAAAGTGGCATGTTAGGCTGAGCTAGCTCATTGAAAGATGCTCAATAAATATTTGTTGAAGGAATGAATGAGTAAATGAATGAAAGATGAACCTGCCTTTCTGGGCAGTGAACAGAATTCCCTTAGATTTGATCTTTCTTAAGTGTAACAGAATTTAGCTCCTTTGATCTGTTTGAAGATTTTATATCATTTTGCCCTCATCATTGTCGTGCCTTATGTCATCTTGAAAGTAACAGGCCTCAAGAAAGTAAGGAGGGGATAGGAAATGAGAAGTGGGAACTGATGAGTTTATCCCAGGAAATTGAAATAATGGATGAGCTGTATGCTGGCCTGAGTCACTCACTTGGCTGTGACTGGAGGATAAGTGAATCTGTGATTTGACACACCTAGGAAAAGGCAGGAAACATTAGAACACATCATGGAGCTGAAATAAACTTTACAAAGAAATAACAGCGTAGGCTTGATGATTGCAGACTAATCTTTTGTCTCCCCTATCACTGTTCAGCTAAGGGTAAGGATTTAAAAAATAAAGGGTATTGTTTCTAGGGCTATACTTAACTATATGCAAGAATTTATTTGACAGTGTACTACCAGCTTGTTCAGACATTATTTTGATGATTTATTCTCCTTAATAATAGATGCTGTTTTTGTGGTGTTTGTTACTGGGCGTTTGCCAATTCTGCTGATTGTATTCTGTGCTTATAGACGTTGACTAAGGAGATGGTTGCTATGGTGGGGACTGTCTATCAAAAGAAAAGAGCTCATAGAGATAAGAAGCATGAGTTGTATATAAAAGAAGTCACATTGCTTTTTGTTGTTGAGTTTTGGTGTATTCATGGGGACCTGACAAGTAAGGTAGGGGTTTACGTTCCTTTGTTTACATGTAATTTTTTTTGGTAATGGGAAGAATGAAAGACTGCTGCTCTTTATTCACAGAGCATCAGGCAGTGTTTCCCAGCATGTGGGAATGTCCACCACTGGTAGTACATGAGATGATTTTAGGTGATTTACAGATGTTTCTTGAGCTTCTCTTGCTGGTCACTGCTTGGCACAGTCCAGAAGACAATCTGTTTTCCCCGATGCCTGCTTCTGTTGGGCTGTCCACTCCTGCCCCACCCATTCACTGTGGGCCCTCCTTAATCCCACCCATTCCTCAGCTCTCTCTTCGTTCCTACCTCTGGTCTCCCTCTTCTCCTTCTGGCATCCCTGCCTGGGCCTCACACTTTGCCCTGCCTTAGTTTCTTGGCCCCAGTATGTCTCCAGCCTCCCTGGCCCTCATGCCTATTGTCTGTCCCTTGTGTTCTTTCAAGGCACAGCTTTATGCTACCTGCTACAAGTATCCCCATTCCCTGGCATTTCTCTATTATCCTCTAACTAATTGCCCAGCTTCCATCCCTTCTTATGTCTGTGCTGGGCCACCTTCGCCCCACAGATCCTGTGTCTCCAATCCTGGACTTGCGCCTACCTGTCTTCCTTGCCTCTAATCCTGAGTGCCTTTCCCTTTCAGCCATGATCTTCTTTTTTCTTTTTCTCCTACCTTTTTATGTCACCTTGCAGTCCACTAATTTCTTTTATAAAGAAGCATAAGTAAAAAAGAGTCAACTTAATATCAAGGAAACAACAGTGTAGGAGGTATGTGGATATGGTTAAAATAGTGACAGAAGTACAAAAATTACTGATGTTTGTCATTATGTCAGCATCTCACATGTTGAACTTAAGTGATATGCTGAATTAGGCTTCTAATTTCTTCTTGATGCTTTTAAAAATTGACACATAATAATCGTACATATTTACGGGTACACGTGATATTTTGTTACATGCATACAATGTGTAATGATCAATTCAGGGTACTAAGGCTATCCATCACCTCGAACGTTTCTTATTTATGTTAGGAACATTTCAAATCTTCTCTTCTAGCTATTATGAACTATACAATATAGTGTTATTAATGATTGTCACCCCACTGTGCTATCAAACCCTAGAACTTACTCTTTCTGTCTATATGTTTGTACCCATTCACCAACCTATCATTGTACTGTTTACACCGTAAGATGAACTTTTTTAGCTTCCACATATGAGTGAGAACATGTAATATTTGTCTTTCTGTACCTGGCTTATTTCACTTAACATAATGACCTTCAGTTCCATCTATGTTGCTGCAAATGACAGGATTTCCTTTTTATAGGTGAGTAGTATTCCATTGTGTATATATAACACATTTTCTTTATCTATTCACCCATTGATAGACACTTAGATTGATTCCATATCCTGGCTATTGTGAATAGTGCTGCAGTAAACATGAGGGTACAGGTATCCCTTGATATACTGATTGATCTCTTTTCTTTTGGATAAGTACCCAGTAGTGGGATTGCTGGATTGTATAGTAGTTCTATTTTTAGTTTTTATGAGAAACCTCCATACTGTTTTCCATAACAACTGTACTAATTTACATTCCCACCAGCAGTGTATAAGAGTTCCCTTTTCTCCACATCCTCACCAGCATCTTTTATTTTTTGTCTTTTTGATAATAACCATTGTAATTGTGGTAAGATGATATCTCATTGTGGTTTTGATAGCATTTCCCTGGTGATTAATGATTTTGAGCATTAAAAAAATATACCTGTTGGCCATTTGTATGTATTCTTTTGAGAAGAGCCTATTCGGGCCAGGTGCAGTGGCTCATGCCTGTAATTCCAGCACTTTGGGAGGCCAAGGCAGGTGGATCACCTGAGGTCAGGAGTTCGAGACCAGCCTGGCCAACATGGTGAAACTCCATCTCTACTAAAAATACAAAAATTAGCTGGGCATGGCAGTGCGCACCTGTAATCCCAGCTACTCAGGAGGCTGAGGCAGGAGAATCGCTTGAACTAGGGAGGCAGAGGTTTCAGTGAGCCAAGATTGTGCCACTGCACTCCAGCCTGGGCGATATAACGAGACTCAGTCTCAAAAAAAAAGAAAAAGTCTATTCAGATCATTTGCCCACTTTTTAGTGGGATTATTTGGGTTGTTTTGTTTTGTTTTGTTTGCTGTTACGTGAATTCCTTGTATATTCTGGATATCAGTCCCATGTTGGATTAACAATTTGCAAATATTTTCTTCCATTCTACAGGTTGTCTCTTCACTCTGTTGATTGTTTCCCTTGCTGTGCAGAAGCTTTTTAGTTTCAACAAGGGTGCCAAGAACATATATTGGGAAAAGGACATCCTTTTCAATAAGTGGTGCTGGGAAAATGGGATATCTATATTCAGAAGAATGAAATTAGACCCCTATCTCTCACCCTATACAAAAATCAGCTCAAAATGGATTAAAGACTTACGTGTAAGACCAGAAACTATGAAATTGCTAGAAGAAAACATAGGGAAACCCTTCAGGATATTAGTCTAGGCAAATATTTTATGGCTAAGACCTCAAAAGCACAAACAACAAAAACAAAAGTAGACAAATGAGATTATCTTCTTGGGACTGTCAACATTCCTGTAGCTACCACAAAGTGTTTTGGATTCTGGACCAGAAACCAGCTGTTCTCACCTCTCAATGTATGCTAGAATCATCTGGGAACTCTTAGAAAGCGTAATGTCCAGTTCCTCTGTTTCAACACCCCCACTTCCACCTCCAGCCAATTAAATTGGAATAGCTGGAAAGGGGGCTAAACACTGGCATTTTAAAGACCTCTGTAGGTGATTCTAATGGCAGCCAGAGTTGAGAACTGCTTGTTGTCATCCTTTAACATGGATGTCAGAGAGTAAGGGCAAAAGGAACTCTGTTGCAAAATAACAAAATGAACGAAAAACAAGTCACTACATGGGAATAGTAAACATAGGAGAACACATAGAACATTGCTAAGGAACAAACTGTGTAAGAACGCAATCTTTTGGATACACCTCATGCAACTGTCTTTACAAACTTCAACCATTTTCAATGACTTTCTAGATAAACCTTGACTTTCCTTCATATTCCCAGAAAAGCAATTGACCTGTGTCCCAGGAGGTTGTTTGGCCTCAGCTTGCTTTGGGTTTATTGCTCTCAGTTCAGGCTGCTGAGGGGTTTGGAGGTAGGGATGGTGGTCTGTCACTGTAGATGTCAAAAACCTTTCCTTCCTTGGTTAGTATAACTCATACTAGGAAGGCATTAGGTGGGCATTGTCCATATTCTGCCAGAATTAGAGAAAGAAAAATCGTTTTCTGCCTTCAGGATAAATGGGAGGTAAGGAGAATAACTGTTTTCAAGGCTTCATGGTGTTGGGCTCTACTTTGACCAGGAATCTACTTGGGTTTGTCACTAAAGTTCACCTCTCCCTGTCTGGCCATTCTTTGTTGTCTCAACTTTCAAATCTCCCAAACATTCCAAGTCAAGGATTGATTCTGCTCAGGTGCAAGAAGTCAAGAGGCAGCTGGACCTCATGGTCTTGGTTGTCAGGGTACCCTGATCTTTGTGCTTTCCTTTTCCTCGCTCTCATCCTCACCATGCCTGCAGCCTTTTTCTGGCTCCTCATCTTCTATGTCTGACAGATACCCTGTCTTTGACTTGCTCTGTCATTGGCTTGCCTGCTGCTCAGCTATCTGCACAGCTCTGGCCCCTAACCAGGTCAGACTTGGTATCTGTGCTTAGGCCATCTGCTTGTAACTGGTCCCTAGCCTGCCATGGACTCTGGATACCCACTGTGGTCTGGCTTACCCTGTTCTTGTTAACTATTGCATATGTGTGCCCAGCATGATGTGTGGGTTCTTTGTGCCAACCTTTATGACTTGTTCCTTCTTTCTTATATTCAGTGGGAAAAAGAAGAGAAAAGCACGCAGCATGTGTATGAAAAGCACATTGGGTGATTCTGCTGTGCTAGGGTTTTTCTAATTAGAGGAGTTTGTTTTAATCACCTTCTCATTTGAGC
Source organism: Homo sapiens (assembly GCF_000001405.40). Taxonomy (NCBI): domain Eukaryota; kingdom Metazoa; phylum Chordata; class Mammalia; order Primates; family Hominidae; genus Homo; species Homo sapiens. The sequence goes on from NC_000003.12 coordinate 124,102,104, forward strand.
CAAATATTCAGGTAATACATAAAGAAGTTACTTTAAATTGGCTTTTATAGTCATCTATGTATATATACCTATTAGAGTTATTTAATTGGCTTTTGGCACAAGATCACTTTACTAAAGGGACCAGGCCTCTTGTCTAATAAAGAGTTTGAACACACACCCGTTTGAAACACCATCACAGAACAATTCCCTGTTGTTCTATACCAGAGCCTCACCAGCAACCTTCATATTTTCTTGTGCTTTCTCTTGAAATGCCCCAAACCTCCTCTTCTTATAGTTAATCCACATTCTTTTCCCTCCCAACCTCTTAGCCCTGATGTCCTCCAGAAAAATATCCCCTGACTGTACCTGGTTCCGTTCAGAGACTCGTGGTCACTAGGTGCATGGCTAGTGTTCTGTAATTCACAATGTGCTCCTGTGGGTAGTAATAATACATACCTCAGGAGGTTGTTGTGAGCCTTGAAGGAGCTAATATGTGTGACCCGTGTTTGGTACCAGTAAGTACTCAGTAAGTATGTGCTTGTTTTCTGAATTTTTGCAGCTTTAGGAATCTTAGTTTCTTGTCAGGGATAATTTCCCTCCATTAAGAGTGGAGTTTCCCTGAGGGCAAGCCCTTGTCCCCACTATCCTTTGTATTTTCACCTAGATACCTAATTCAAAGTTATATCCTAATAGGAAACCTAATAAATAACTTTGGCTAACAGAGTATCTGAACTCTCCAGGGAACCATTGATTATCACAGCATTGTTAAGGAGGAAAAAGATAAATGTAATTATTTGATAATTCCAAATATCTTACCCCTTTGTTTCTCATTATGCCTTTCTGAGATAGATCATATCACTTCCCGTTTCACAGATAGGAAACAGGCTCGTAGAGATTAAGTGCTTGGTTAAAGTCAGAGAGCTGCTAAGGGAAAAGTCAAGATCCAGGACCCCGGACTCCTGTCTAGGATGGGTTGCCCCCTCTACCTGCTGCCATACAGATGGGAAGAGCTCCATCTGTCTGTCTCTCCAGCATGCATGTTAAACTGGGAGCCCAGCCACCTTCCCTGTCAGCAGGTAGTAGAGCGTATCATTGGGATGTCTTGTCTGTGGTGTGAACTACCCAGGCAAGATGTATCTAGGCCAAGTCCTAGGGGAAGGACACTGATAGCTGCTTTGTGAGGTCCCGGTGTGGTGTTTCCATCCAGTGGGGTGGAGATTACTGTGATGTGAGAACAGTAAAGCAGCACTTGCCCAGATATGGCATGTCCTCCCAGGGCCTGTTCTGTGGTGGCATACTCAGTGGTTGCTGAGAACCAAGGGGCAGTGGGACAGCTGTGTCCCTGGATATTCAGAAGGCTAGTTGGATCCCCAGTATAAGTGATGGGTTTGCTCTTCACCTTGTGGACAGAGGTGGCTTGTTATCAAAGAAAACACCAAAGCAATTAGTATCGTTGTTGTTATTAGTAGCAGTAGTAATAGACTCTACTAAGGGTCCAGGTAGAGCAGGGAGTGATTAGGGTTAGGTGTAAGCTCGCTGCCCTTAGGGAGCTTACAATTCAAACTCCTGAAAGATCAAGAATCAACAGTAAGGCTGGGCGCAGTGACTCATACCTGTAATCCTAGCACTTTGGGAGGCCGAGGTGGACAGATTGCCTGAGCTCAGGAGTTGGAGACTAGCTTGGGCAACATGGTAAAACCCCATCTCTACTAAAATACAAAAAATTAGCCGGGTGTGACGGCATACAACTATAGTCCCAGCTACTCAGGAGGCTGAGGCAGGAGAATTGCTTGAACCTGAGAGGTGGAGGTTGCAGTGAGCTGAGATCACGCTACTGCACTCTAGCCTGGGTGGCAGAGCGAGACTCCATCTCCAAGAAAAGAGAGAGAGAAAAAAAAAGAATCAACAGTAACATCTCTGCATCTCTGTTGGCCCTCTTTCAAGTGATACTTATAAGGGGGAGCTCTTCTAGCTCTAATGTTTCATGGTTCTGTGTGGACAATACCTACAAAATATTTACCTATAATACCTATAATATATCTTTGTGATGCCGCAGGTACTCTTTCATGTTAAGTTGCTAGATGAGTGCTATGAATTTACAAGAGAGAAATAATTGGGTCTGAATGAAAGAAGAAATGTTCATGTATTCAACAAATGTCTTCTAAGGTCCTACTATGTGCTTTGCTCTACCCAAGGCTCTGGAAATACAATGCTAAAGAAGACAGTCTTCTTGTCTTCGTGAAGTGTTATGGTTCAATGGGGGAAGTAGACAATAACAAATAACACAATAGATAATGCAATGACAGGATAAAAAGGAGAGAACAGGGTTAAGCTTTAGTAGCCCTGAATTACGAGGATGGAAATCAGCAAATACAGGGTGTGCTTGGGGAATGAAGACTAAATCAGACTGCCTGGAGCATCTGTGTGATAAGAGTTAAGGTTGGAGGGACAGATTGGGGCTACCTTGTGAAGATTCTTGCATTGGCATGTTGGGTTAAGGGCAAATGGTTCCAGAGTTGTAGCATTCAATTAGAAAAGGTATTGAGCAGTACCAAGGTACCAGCCAGTAGACTAAGTACTACTGGGTTCATATGGTTTAAGGAGAGACTCAGATGTGTAAAAAGGACCTTACAACAAAACTGGTAAGTGCAATTACCTAGGCTTGCATAGGATCACAGAGGACAGAACAGCTAATTGCCTAGAGGGGTTGGAGAAGTAAGTCTTCTCGGAATATCTGATAGTTCAGCTTGGGGTGCAGGATTAATAGGAGTTTGTTTGGTGGAGAAGGTGGGGCCAAACATTCTAGACAGTAAAGCATGGGCAGAAGCACAAAGTGGGTTGAAGGGGATGGATAGCTAAAGAAAAGGGGGCAGGTCAGTGTATCAGGAAGGTAAGGCACACAAGAGGGAGCAAGGGTCATGGGGAACTTCTGAGCATAAGAGCCTGGTGCTGGTCATGTTCTTTAAAGATGAATCTGAATGCATAAAGACAACTGGAGAAAAAGAAAATGGATGTGAAGGAAGCATTGGCCTATGGAGAGGAAGGAAGAGAAGGATGTAAAAGATAATGTCAGAGAAAGCAACAGGGATTTCTTACTCTTCATATTAAAGGGTCATTGAAGCTTTCATGCTTAGGTTTGACTTGAGGAGTGGCAACTGTTACACTAAAAGTCTGAAAAGATGAGTAGGACTTGGGGTGTTGGTAAAGGGATTTAGAAACTTTGAGTTTTAGATGATTACAAGATGCCTGATTCATTCATGCATTAAAGTAGGTTTGTGTTTCTAGGGGGAAGTCAGGGCAGGAGATGAATATTTTGAGTCATTTGCCAAGAAGTGATGGTGAAACTGGTATTAGCTCAAGGAAGACAGCATAGAGAAAAGTGAGAGTAGTGTAGACTGTTTTTCGAAAGTATTGACAAGGGAGACAGGATAAGAGAGATACGAAGAGTATTCCTTAAGGGTAGGAGGAGAGCCAGGACATAATAATTTCGTGGGAATAGAGGAGAAGGAGAGTTAGGGAGCTCCATGTGCGTGGAGAGGAGGCAATGTTGAGGGCTTTGGTGACAGAAGGCATTGGTGACTACTTACAGCATTGTTTCAGCACCTCAATGAGAAGAAACCAGATTGCAGTGGGAGGAGGTGGTGAAGATGAGGTAGCAGCAAGCACATATTGTTTGTTTGAGAAATATGTCAGAAAATGAAAGGTAAAAATAGAATGGTGGTTGGTGGGACATTAGGGTCAAGTGATGATTTTGTTCAAGGAGGAAGGCCTGAATGTGTTTGAGGCTGGGGTAAGGGACCAGTGATAGAAGTTTAAAGATGACAAACAGAAATGAATTTATTTATCCATTCAATAAATATTCATTGAGCACTGACAGTATTCCAGGGACAGTGCTATTTGCTGGAATATAACATGAATAAGGCATGAAATCTTCATGGAGTTTACATTCTAGTGACTAAGGCAGACAATACACAAGTCAAAGTAACAGTTGAATTTGCAATAACAGCTTGTGATAAGTGCTCTAAAGTGAAGCAGTGACCTGGAGGAGGTAGGAATGGATTGAACAAAGAGTGCAGATGGAAGTGGTAGACTGGAGGAGGGGGAACACTTCCTCTGTTGTAAGGAAGGAAGAAAGAGTGCTTAGAAAATGATTTTTAAGTAGAAAAAGTGAAAAATGAGGAAATGCAGTTCAGATGGTCCTGATATTCTTAAAAAAGAACAGGCAGTGTCATGAGCTCAGACTGGAGAGGTGGAATAGTTCAAGACCTTGGATAGGTGCTTACTGCTTCATTCAAACCTCCGATGACCCTGTGATGTTGTGGGAGGGTGTTATTCTCATTGTATACATGAGAAAACTGAGGGGACTGAGAGAGGACCCATGACTGAAAAGTATAGCAGCAAGGGAGAGGAGCCTCACCTGGATACTCTTATCATCAAACTCACCTCCAAGGGCCAGCTCAGAGGGTACTGTCAGTGCAATCAAGACATCAGTTCCTCCTCCCTTCTATATAAAGCCTTGTGCTGGGCCTTGGAGAAGACTGTGGAGAGGAGATGACACCTGTACCTGGAAAATAAGAAAGATGAAGTTGGAAGAGATAAGATGAGGAAACTGAGGCTCAAAGAAATGATTTTACTCCCCAAAGTCATACAATTATCGGCTGAGCCTGGATGTGAAGCCAGAATAAAAAACTCCAAATTGAGACCTCTTTCCATTATATTCCCCGATATATACCCCTTTACTGTGCTCAGTAGCCTTGATGTAGTCATTGTATGTGGACAGAATGGAGAATTCATGTGTTTGAGGGTTATCTGGTTTGGGTTCAGCTTTTAAAGGCTCCAGGCAAAATTTCTAAGAAGCTCCAAAAGCAGGATTGCATTTCTCTATCCTTCCTTGTTATCACTATGAAAAATAAGCTGAGTGGGGTTGCAAGTGGCACTTCTTGGTTCTCCTGGGCTGTTGCAGAATTGTGCTCTAAAGAACCCAGAGGAGTATCTTCCTTATAAACCCAGGATAGGAGGAATAATTGGCATGGGGCTTTTAATCTACTTTCATGCTAAATGAAATCTGTTAGATGGGATAATGAGCTCCATATTTTATAGACTATTTTAAGCTTGTCTCAAAATAAAGTACAGGGCTAGGGGTGGAGGAAGGACGTTAAGTCTTAGAGACAAAATGCCATGGCTTACTCATCAGTGTTTTCATTTTAATGATCCCAACCCCAGTACAAGTCCCTCAGTGATAGTGTAATGGAAACCACATTTTTTTTTTCCTGTTGGAAGTTTCAGGATGAACACAGCCAAATGCTTCAAGACATAATTAAGACTACAATCTCCCATCCTCGGTAATATACAGACCTTTCACCCAGGGGGCTCAGCTAGAGACAATGTGGTTGGAACGCAGTTGAAATTATAGAGACTTTTCCCCACCAACCTGGCCCCCTAGAGCTTCTTTTCTAGGCCTTGTCCTCCCTGTCCTTAACTCCCTTCTCCTTAACTGCTGCCTCATGCCTGGGAAGGAATAAATAAGTAAGAACCCTGGTGTTGACTCTTTCCCTGCCACAGGGAGAGAATCCCAGACAAATGCTGCTGTGTCTGGAGGAGGCTGGACTGCGCTGGCAGAGGCAGCACATACATAGCAGGAAGGGCAGCCAAGAGAGCTTGCCAACAGATGTGGGGTGCTGGGAGGGAGGAGGTAGACAGTGTCATCATTAGGTATGGAAGGAGGTAGGGAATGTTCTGTACATTACAGGCTGGAAAATCCAGCTCATAGGAAGGTCTTGAGGACTTAAGAGAGCAAGACAGCTCCTTCTGTGTTTGGACAGAATGGGTCTCCTTTGCTTTGGCAAGCTTTCTGAACCTACACAGATCAGAGTTAACAAGCTTGGCATGACCAATCTGATTATGTGGCTTCTCCGCCCCTCACTCTGTTAATCACATCTTGAACACCTGGAATATATAAGATAATGGGAGCCCACAGTACATATATGTGTATACTGTCTGTTTGGCCAATTGCAGTCCAGTCTTATCCTTGCAGGGAAGGCTCCACTTAGCACAAGGAACAAAGGAAGGATTAGGATATTTGCCCCTTGCTACCTTGGTTCCATACTCTGCCCTGGGGGTAGTGATTCTGGGATAGCCAAGGATAAGACCCAACTGGGTACTCTGCTTGGCTCCTTAGAGATCATATCACTGGTACATTTCTCTTCTCACTACTCCAGCCACCAAAAGGCAGATAGTCATGTTAATATCTCCTCCAGGAAAATGTATTAATTAGTATATTCTTGACTCATTTAACTAGTGACTAAATACTTTTCTGAGTCTCAGTTTCTTTATTCAGAGAATTAGGATAATATCTACCTGTGGTAGTCATTAGTACCATTCATTAAGTACTTCTAGCTGCCTACATGTTTGGGCACACAGTTAGATTGTACTTCTCTACATCCTTGGTCATGTGACCTGCTTTGGCCAATGAAACGTGAGCAGAAGTCAGGTATTTCATTTCCAAGTGGAAGCTTTAAAAGCCAATATACTGTTTACTTCCTTCCATTGTTTAATTGATTGTAGCTCTGTTGGGATAAATCCTTCATCAGCCTGGGACTGTGAGTGACTATGATGATCACAGCTCTCTACTGAACCAAGTTGAACATGTAGTATGAGCAAATATTAATCTTATTTTCTGTGAAGTTACTAAGATTTGGGGGGTGGTTTGTATCTGTAGCTTACCTAGCCTGCCTTGGCTGATAATATACTACCTCATAAGGCTTTGCAGGGGATTACACAAAATGCGTATGTACACATAGTCAGCACTCAATAATTGGTGGCTACTTTATTCTCACCATGAATATAATTTGGGATGCTTTTGGCTGCAGGTAATTCAACCCAAACTCAAAATGCATAAGCAATAAATGCATTTCTCCTCTTGCCTTCACTTCTCCTCCTGCTTCTCCTTCTCCTGCTTCTCTTAACAAGAAGTTTAGAATTTGGGCAATTGAATTAGAGGCTCAACATCATCACTAGCTTCTTTCTTATTTAGTCTGCCTAGGTTAATTAGATTTCTTAAATCTATAAAATGTTGTAGTTCGTCATTTTTGGAAGATTGTCAGTTATTATCTCTGTTCTTTTTCTTCTTTCCATTTGAGATCTCAACTGATTGTATGTTGCAATTTCTCGTTGTATAGTCTATATTTCTTATTATTCTAGATATTTTTATCTCCCTTTGATGCATTCTAGATAATTTCCTCTGACATATCCTCCAGTTTATTCTCTTTTTAGCTGTGTCTAATCTGCAATTAAATGTGTTCACTAACTTCTTAATTTCAATTATTGTATTTTTTAGTGCTAAAATCCCTTCCCTATTTAATTATTTCCCAAATCACCTTTCTTTTGGTTTCCAATTTTATGAAAAATACTTTCAAGCTTATCTTTTGTTTCTTTGAGCATTGAGCATAGTAAGCCTATTTGTTTTATAGTTTTTTGTTTGATAATTCCATTATCTGAAGTCTTTATGGGTTGATTTTTTTTCCTGGCTTTATTGAGATAAAATGGACAAATAAAAATGGAATATATTTACCATGTACCACATGATACTTTGATATACATATCATATATATATCATACTTTGATATATATATGACATATATATCATACTTTGATATATATATGACATATATATCATACTTTGATATATATATGACATATATATCATACTTTGATATATATATGACATATATATCATACTTTGATATATATATGACATATATATCATACTTTGATATATATATGACATATATATCATACTTTGATATATATATGACATATATATCATACTTTGATATATATATGACATATATGTCATACTTTGATATATATGACATATATGTCATACTTTGATATATATGACATATATGTCATACTTTGATATATATGACATATATGTCATACTTTGATATATATGACATATATGTCATACTTTGATATATATATGACATATATGTCATACTTTGATATATATATGACATATATGTCATACTTTGATATATATATGACATATATGTCATACTTTGATATATATATGACATATATGTCATACTTTGATATATATATGACATATATGTCATACTTTGATATATATATGACATATATGTCATACTTTGATATATATATGACATATATGTCATACTTTGATATATATATGACATATATGTCATACTTTGATATATATATGACATATATGTCATACTTTGATATATATATGACATATATATCATACTTTGATATATATATGACATATATATCATACTTTGATATATATACCATGTGGTACATGGTAAATATATTCCATTTTTATGTATGTATATATGTATATATTTCATATATACACACGCGCGCACACACACACACACACACACACACACATTGTGAAATGATTACCACAAATGTGGGTCTCTTTCTGTATTCTGCTATTCCTGATGATCCTTCTTCATGGTATACTTTTTCCTTGTGTTTTTTATCTTTGTATCTTGATCACTGGCCTTGAAGCCAAGAATGATAACATTCTTCTGCAATGATTTTTATTTTCTTTTGACAGCCCCTGGGATACCACCAGTCCAGTTCTACCTTAACAAAATGCTTAAGATTCCTTCGACCTAGGTTGCAGTCAACTGGGTTTCAGGTTTGCATTAACAGCTAGTTTATTCTAGGCTACCTTTATCTTGAGGGTGAAGCTTCCCCTCTGAGAGGAAGCCTAGCTTAGAGTGAATGTTGTTTATCAAAGTCTTCTGGGGCAGAGGCCCTGGATGTTGCTTTCTGCTTTCCTACTCCTCCTGGTTGCCAAAAGCACAGCTTAGTTTTGCTACTAAACTAAATACTATTGTTTCTTGCAGATTGGCAAATGCTCTCAAGGCAAAAGCTTTTTTTGTGTGTTTTGGGCCTTCCTCTTTGGATTTTAAACTTCTCCTAGGTTTTGACCTAGAAATTCTTTATCTTGTTAGCTCTTTAATGCTTTTGAGAAAATAAAAACAAATATAAATGATTGTCCTCAGTGGGAAGGTTGGTCCTAATCACCCAGCCTGCCACTACAAGAAAAGACCATCTTAGAACCCCAATACCTTACATCTTTCCATTCTACCATCCTGATAGTCCCAAGATGGCTGCCGTAACTCCATATGTTACATGCAGAACCGATAACAACTGAAAGAGCCTGTTTCTTCATGCATATATTTTAAAGCAAGAAAACCTTTCCCAGATGTCCTCCAGGAGATGTTTCCTCATGTCTCAAAGGCCATTATTTTGCCACCAATTCCAAAACAAGTCACTGGAAGGGGATGCAATTTCCGTGATTGGTGTAATGTAGTCAGCATTTACCCTGTGGGACTGAAGTTGTCTTTGCGTCCCCTGAAGCACATGGATGCTTGATTTCTTAACAAAATGTGGGTCTGTAAGCAAGGAAGAAGGGGGTTAATGGCCACTGGGTAGGCAACCAACTGTGTCTATCACAGTCTGTGCTCAGGATTAAAGATTAAGAAGCATAGTCATGGTTCTTGTTCTACTTTGAGACCTACGTGCTCTGAATGGTGCAAGAAAATATAGAGCCAAACGTAATACAGAAAGGATTCATAAATATAGGGGGCATGTTCATTGAAAACACACTTTGTAACTTAAAAACTGGAAAAATTTGGGATACTCTGTGTTCAAAATATAATAAATTTATTTAATCAAAAATATTAAAAAGATATATAGCAGGAAGAATGGCTTTATTGGAAATTCACTCCCCAAACTTAATCATATTACAAATTACTTCTATAAATGCATATTGTACAAAATAGGAATAGATCTGATGCAGTCATGATTCCACTGAATGAGCTGGGTCCTTCCAAGTGCTCCTGGTAGAGGTGGGCTGCAGTTTGCAGAAGAAAGAAAATATTAAGGCTTAAGAATCCTGGCCGGGCACGGTGGCACATGCCTGTAATCTCAGCATTTGGGAGGCTGAGGCGGGCAGATCATTTGAGGTCAGGATTTCGAGACCAGACTGGCCAACATGGTGAAACCTTGCCTCTACCAAAAACACAAAAATTAGTCAGGTGCAGTGGTGCACACCTGTAGTCCCAGCTACTTGAGAGGCTGAGGTATGAGAATCGCTTGAACCCGGGAGGCAGAGACTGCAGTGAGCCTAGATCATGCCACTGCACTCTAGCCTGGGCTACAGAGTGAGACTCCATCTCACAAAAAAAAAAAAAAAAAGAATCCTCCAAAAACTTGGAAACATGAGCATCCCTTCCCTAGCAGGGCAGAAGGTTTTTCTTGATCTAATATACCTGCCTTTGTTACCTGGGAGCAGGAGACCACAGAAGGCGAGGTATGAAGGTACAAAGATGATCTTTTCCAAGTTCTGGCTTGCTCCCAGAAGTTCAGAAACCAGATCCTCCTGTTTGGACAAGAGGCCCCAGAGAGAGATAGGAATTTATCCTGCCTGTCCCCAACTGCACCACTGGAGTATCTAATGAGCAGAGGTCCAATTCCTGAACACTAGCCTTCCACAGGTTTGGGGTCCATCTTTCCACCTTCTGTTTTCCATATCCTATATCTATGGCTTGATCTCATCTTAGAAGTCCCCCTTCCTAGTTTGTCATTTGCCACAGGTTGCTAGCTCTTGAAAGTCCCTCAAAGAAGATACCCAAAGGAAGTGTGCCAAGCAGGTTGAAAGTAGGCATGGGGTGATATTTTTGGTCACGAGCAGCTGAGTACAGCTGGGTTTTGGGGGAGGGTGGGGACAAGTAGGGTAAAAGTGAATTGAAAGTGTATCTACATGTACTTGTAGATATACTTTCATGTACTACATAACTGCATGTCTCCTTTGATTACCTCCATGCCGTTTCATTCTTCAATCCCACCAGTTAAAGCTGTTGATTTATGTACCAGACTCCTTTAAAAAAACCAAAGGAAAAATAGTTAATAAATTCGGATGTGTCAAGCCCAGTGACGAGGTTTGTTTAGCTGATTGGCTTGCTTTTCAGGCAGTATGCTGAGTAGTTAAGTGGGAGGAGGCTTTGAAATAAAAACAGCCTGGTTTAGCTCATAGCTCTACCACTTACTATTGTGTGACACTGGGCATGTCACAGCCTCTCTAGGCCTTGGTTTCCTCATCTGTAAGATGCCAATAATATCCTATGTTTACCTTATAGTGTTATTGTAAGGATTAGGTGATGTTACGCATGTTAAAGGCTCAATAAGTGTTAGTTATTAATTCTTAACCTGTATTGCCTAAAATCTAACTTTTGGATGAGAAGGGGATGGTGGAGTGGTTATAAGGTGCTCTGGGGACTGAAGGCTTAGGAAGGCAGGTTTTGAAAGGGTACGGAGATAGAATATGCATGTGAGGATCTGGGCTTTGAAAGAGGATAATCAAAAGTTGAATTGGAAGAGAGTCGATGACTAACTTCCATTTCTCTTGAAGTGTGGCCCAAGGCCCTGGGGGAAACTTCAGCTTCAGGCTGTACCTGTGTACCTGCTTGTGACTGGGATATGTTTCCTGCAGGAGTGAAGCCATTGGTAGTTTCTTTTAAGGCCCCGCCTCCTCACCTGGAGACTACTGGCCAGGTGGCTGAGCTGGGCTGCCTCAGAGGGGGCAGGTGCCCTGCTATCTCCTGCTGGCTCAGCCTGCGAGGCTCAAGGTACATCCTGCCTCACTGGAGTTCCTTCTCCTAAGATTAAGAGCTTGAGTGGCCCAGCCCAGAATAATAAATACATGAACTGGCAGGCATTAGAAGGCGTCAGCATCGATAAATCATCATATTCTGGGCAGTATCTTCAGAAACCCGTTCTTATCAACCACTTAAGGAGAGAAGGATCCAAGGGCCATGGTGAATATCTGTCTCAACCCAGAAAGGAAGGAGCTGAGGCAACAGGGTCTTTGGTAGTGCTGGAAGGGTAGAGAGTAGGCCCTGGGTGGAAATATTTTTAAAAGGAGAAAGGTAAGAGAAAGGGTTAAAAGGCAGCCTTTTGTCACCACCTCAGGCAGCTGGATGAGGGACCAGGCTTGAGGGAGCAGGTTGGAAGAACAGTTATGTAGAGGTAGAAGTGTAACTTCAGTCTTCAAAGTGGCCATTATCGGCATTTGGATATGTTCTGGCCATTTCATCAGAGAGGCAAGCACCCCTTGGTACCTGTTTGTATGATGGATTTGGATGGGAGGAAGAGAGAAATGGGATTTGGGGATACCATGAGCTCTTTTTCCCAGGGGTTCTTCTTTAGCCAATGCCGTGGGCTCACATCTGAGCCCTGAGGAGAGGAACCCTGTGCAAAAGTTGAAGGAGCTGTCTGCTGTTTTCATGAGGGCTCTGTGTGACATATGGGGACAGATGATGCTGATCTTGTGAACACAGTGGGGAAGATGGACTTAGCTTCCATCAAGGCTTGATCCTGGCATAGTGAAGACTTCGGGAACTCAGGCTACTTGGCACTTGGAATATTGGGGATTTGAGAACCCTGGAGCAAGCACTCTGGATCCGACACTGGTGTCCTCACAGAGGGCACCCCAGGCATCCTCCAGCAACAGCGGGCAGCCAGAGCAGCAGAGGAAGGACATGGCAGGTACGGCTGACAATGCTTTGTGAGCAGGAATGAGCATGGGGAGATATGAGTGGGGCTCCTGGACATAGTGAGATGAAACTTTTCAGGGGCTGAGGTGCAACATGAGGAAGAAGATCAGGCCAAAGCCAGTGGAATTTGGATTGCCTCTGTTAATGGGATGTCTTGTCTGGTGAAGGCTAGGAAACTCAAGTCACAGAAGAAACTTCCCGTCAGTGAGGTAGTATTCCCCAATTTAACAAATATGTATTGAATGCCTACCCTGTGCAGGCACTATTATGAGTGTGAACAAGAGAGGCAGAATCTTTGTCTTCATGAGAATGACAGTGAAGGGAAGACATTACCCAGTTAGAAAGTGCCATGGGAGCAGAGAAAATGAGGAGGAGAATTTCAGCTGTGGATTTGATCTTGAAAGGGCCTTAAAGGATGGGTAAAAGTTGGGCTTGTGGAGATAGAGGAGGCCTAGAGAAGAAGGGAGAATTTGGGAAATAGTCTTTATGTGGTGGATGTGTGTTTATACACATTGTGAATGTGTATGAAGGAGATTAGGAATATTGAGAGAGAAAGCTGGAAAGGTTGGTTGGGTGGGCTTTCGGTCCCATGCTAGGATTTTATTCAGTAGTCTATGGGCAGCCATTGGGATATTTTGAGCAAGAAAAGTAACTTGATCAATCATTTCCTGCCTTTGGCTGAGGTCACTTAGCAGCACTGGTGTTAGGCAGGGCTGCAGGCCATGATTGTTTCGATATGTTCTCTTCCTGGCCTTCTCACGGGAGCAGTCGTAATTTTATTTTTACCCACTTCTCTGTTTTGGGCGTCCGTCAGATTAGCAGCTAGCTCTATGCCTCCAGTTGGAAGAGAGCTTCTGTTCAAAGTGCTGTATGGGTGGAGTCTTTCTGCCACTGTCCGAGCCCTGCTGCCCTTCCTGGGTGTTGACCTTGGCTGTAGAGGGTGTGTCCCTTGATTTAAAGCTATTTGTTCCCCCTTCTTTTTCAGCTTCACCCTGGTACTTCTGAATGACCAGGGTTCCTGCAGGGAGGTCGAGCAACGGCAGCTTGTGGTTTGGGTGTTAGCTAGGGGCAGCAACTAATAAATGAATGGTCAGTTGTCTTGGGAATGTAGGTCTTTGCTTCAACTAGATTTACTTTCATTTTATCATAAATACCAGAAGCTTCATGAATTTAAATTGGTTTCCTGAAACAGACCCTGGTTCCAGGAACATTTCTCACTGTGGGAGACAGGATTGTCAACAAAAATGGGGATGCATTTTTAAAGATAAGATCTATTTATCAGTGTATGGTCCACAAAGAATCAAATTTGGTGACTTAAAACTTCTGTACTCAAATGAAGGGTATGGTGCATATTTATCTTACAGTGACAGTGATGTTTTAGAATATCCGTATGGTACTGCTGGCTTAGTTGGCCTGGATGTTATATTCATGAGGCCAAGGCTGCAGCCCAGCTCTCTTCCCTCTGGTGGCCAGATATCTTCTCTTTGGTCATGGCTAGAGACTACATCTTCTGTTCCAGCTGGTAGTCTTTTAGTAGCATTTTATTAGTCATGCAAGGGCCAGCAAAAATAGCATAGACAGATAGTAAAAATCTAGTCCTTGTACTGGAAAAAGAACTTGGAGAATGTGGCCTGTTGATAATGGTTGTATTATCACTAAGTAATTTTTTTTATATTGATTAAGTACTTCCTATGTGCCAGGAACTGTCCTAAGTGCTTATCTCAACCTTCAAAATAGTATAGATCCTATCTTACAGATCAGGAAACTGAGGCTGAAATAAGTTAAGTGACTTGACAAAGTCATTCAGCCTGGATAATGGTATGCATAATTAGGTTCTAATCTAGCTTTTCTTATCTTAAGTCTTGTATCCTTTCCTCTCTTCTGTCCAGAAATGATGATGAGAATATAGTAGTTCCCCCTTATCTGAGGGGGATACGTTCCAAGATCCCCAGTGGATGCCTGAAACCACAGATAGTACTGAATCCTAAATATACTATGTTTTTTCCCTGTATGTTCATACCTACAATAAACTGTAATTTATAAATTAGGAACAGTAAGAGATTAACAGCAATAACTAATAATAAATAGGACAATTATAACAATATAATGGAAGTTATGTGACTGTGGTATCACTCTTTCTCAAAATATCTTATTATATTGCATCACAGGTAACTGAAACTGTGGAAAATAAAACCACGCATAAGGAGAGACTACTGTACCTATACTGTAGATTCCTGGAGGCAGAGTCAGATGTTGGACTGTTCAGTAACATCTTGGAATCTCCTTTGTCCACCAAAGTGTCTTTGACTGTGACCTTAGGCCTCTTGCTTTGAAGCAGAGTTACTCTATCCTATTTGGAGTCCAAATTAACATCTGCTCACCACCAAGTGGATCCCTGGAGATCTTTCTTGCTGTATCCTCCAGCCCCTAGCCCCTTTTGAATTGGGGAAGTGGCAGATGGAAGATCAAGTGGCAGATGGAAGGTCAGATTTCAGACCTTGCAGGCTTCCTTCTGATCTGCATCAGCTCAGAGGGAGAGAAGGGGGGACTGGCTGGTGTGTGGTCAAGTGTATTTTGTTGACCTGCTGCCCTGAGCTAGGGGTCTATACTAGGAATTTCTTTTATGGAAAAGAAAAACAGTGTTTTTTTTTTTTCCCTTGAACATTCTGGGGGTGGGGAGAATCAGCAAATTATTTTATATTTAAATAACTAAACATTTATTAAGGGTCATCTCTGGAGAAGACAGAATTGGTGTGATTTGAAGGATGCTACAAAAGTGCCTCCTGCTCAGAACCTCTCTGACCCTTGTAGTGCTTTGACACCTTAAACAGTTCATTCATTCCTTTTGGCTAATATCACTCAGCTGATCCTTTTATAGGTGCTAAAATAATGCACTCTTGTGTTAATTTAAGATTCTTCCGGAAGAAGTAGAGGAACATTAAGGCAGTGTGTGTGTCGGGGGAGTGGGGTGGGTGGTGTTTAGAGTGAATGGATGACTCAGACTTGGTGAGAGATATTCTGGGATGGCTTCCTGGAGGAGAGAATTACTTAACATGATGTGGTGGCCAAGAAGGCTGTTGGCACCGTTCTTTCAGAAGCTTCAGATTGAGGCATTCACCAAGTTACTGAACATTAGTTTTTAGTTTCTAAGATAATGGAATTAGCTGTAGTAGTACAAGGTACAAAGCCATTATTAACTTATAAGCCTTTATAATTACTTTTCAGAAGCCCTTTTTGCTTTAGCATTGTAAATCTTTCTCACAGTGCCAGGGATTTAAAAATTTTAGAAATGACATTTAATTAATGTTGAACGTAAAATCTCTTTGGGTTTTAAGCTGTCTTGGGAATCTACTCATTCCCTCCTCCCAGATCCATCTTGCCTCCTCTTAGGGATCATCCAGGAAACCTCCCTGAGGGCTGGCATGGAGGTAGGCAGAGGAGAGTGCCTTCCCTCAGGGTGACTGTCAGACTTTCCAGCCCCCAGAAACATTCCGTGGAGATGAAGGAGACACTTCCATCTGTGCCTGGGCCATATTTCAGGGAGACTACGTGGTGGGACTCGCAGCTGGGGGACAGGACAGAGGGACTACAGATGGCAGATGGCTCTGGCTGCCACTTGGAGGGGGCTGTTCTTGGGGCCGATGGGGGTGTGTGGCTTAGACTATACTCCCTGTGAAGTAAACAGGGAATGCTTTTCTTAGGATCTAGGGAAGTTTTAGCAACTTAGTTAGGATTATGCCATCTCTGTGGGAGAGAGGGTTTCTGCAGGAGACTGCAAAGATATACATGTGAACATTTAAAAAGTACAACTTTCCAGCCCCCAGAAGCATTCCGTGGAGTTGCAGGAGACACTTCCATGCATCCACAGAAGCCCTCTGTCCCTCACGTGGGCTCTGGAGATTCCTAAGACTTCTGTGCATCTCTCTATGTGAGTCATGGGACATGTTCCCTTAGGCCACATGTAAATGCCAGGCAGTGAGGCCTAAATAGTCATTGCACTCTAAAAAAAGTAAACATATTTAATTTCTCATATTTTTATAACGATGTCTTACTTGAACATTTATTATATACCAGATTTGTTCCAAACACTGGAAATCCGTCTTCTCATTTAATTGTCACAACTCTGGCAGGTAGTTGTCATTCTTTACAGTTTATAAAGCATGTCCACCATCTATCTCACTTGAGTCTTTCAGCAGTATATGTATCCCCATTTTACAAGTAGGACGTGGCCAGATAAGTGACTGTCATAAGACTGTATGTCCATGGAGTAGTGACATTGAACTCAGAGCTCTTTGTTCCAATTCCGGTCTCCTTTTCATCATACTGTAATGAGAGCCCAGCTTTCTTCCTTCTCTCAACCCCCACCTTGTTTTACAGAGAGTGTCTCTGGGATTCTGTGGCTGGGAGAGGTGGGAGAGGTAGCTGAGCAGGTAAGCCTTTTACGAATGTGTGTAGATTTGAGACCTGCAAGGCGAGAGGCAACAGGGAGTGGAAGCTGACTGACAGGGCCCTGGGGGATGTGTCAGAGACAGTGCAACTGTTGCACAGATGTGGTGCAGGCTCCTCATTAAGAGGGAGCTGGAAAGGAAAAACTCCCACTTCAGAGAAGAATTAGACTGTTCCCAATGTCTTCACATCTGTGAGGGGACTGATGGTACAAAGACTCACTGATAAATGGACAGAAGTTTTCAGACCCAAGAAGATATTAAAATAAATATTTAATTTGCAACAAATTATGCTGTGAATCATTAAGACAAACATAAATCTCATGAGTAAGATTTCTGTTATTTCTCTGAATCTCAATGAAATATTTATTGAGGAAAATGAAGTCAGCTCATTGCTTTGCATGACTAAATGCCATTGCTGGCTTCCAAGAGCAGCTTCCTCAGGATCTGTCTCAGATCGCAAGGATGGGGGAGGAGGCAGGACTACTTCCAGGCTGTCCCAACATGAGCAGGGATCAGATCATTCAGATCGGGTAGGACTGAAGCATGGTCTAGCATTGTGTCTGGAATAGAAAATGTTGTCTAATTTTTTGTTATTTAAGGTTGATTTTGAAGGTCCTGGGGCACTTTCTAATTTGAGGAGTAGGGAGGATGGCTTCAGGGTAAGTTCTCTGAATTTTCAGATGGCAAACCCTGAGACAGCTTTCAAGTGTGTCTAGAACTTAGAATGCTCTGATTCAGGTTAATGCCTTTGGGGGTGATACACGGATGTCCTGATGCCATTCCTGGGCTGCTGCTTGGGTATGCTTTACCAATGCTAATGGTGTGCTCACACCTTGGGGATTGGGAGAACAACATCAATCCATCTAATCTCACCTAAGGTAGTAGAGGATATTGACCCATCTCCCCACAGAGGTCAGCCCCAGTTCACTGACTTTCTTAGTTGTGGCTTATCAGAGCAAAACTGGCTATTCTAGGAGATGGATTTCAAGAGGCTGAAACAAAAGACAGCAGTGTGGGTACATGGGGTGATGAGGATACCCAGGCCTTCCTGGACTGGTTTGGGCTGTAGCCGTTCCCCCGACAGGGCAGGTGGCTCTGACTCCTGAGTTCATGGTCCTTTGGCAGGCAGATCCAGTGTGGGTCACATGATGGATGTTTCTATGGGTGGTCTTGCTGTCCAAAGTCAGCCTTGCTGCTCTAATTCCATTCTGGTTTTCTTCTTGCAATCCACAGGTGGTTTAGGTAAATCCCCACAGATGAAATATGACTTTATTCCTCTCTCAAAAACACAGTGCTTTGGTCAGAGAGAAAGCTTAGCGAGCATGTTGAGGGGACTGTCACTTAGAACTGACCATCTTGTTTTCCTTTGCCTTAGACTTCCCATTTTCTAAATCTAGAGTGCGATTAATGGTATAAATGTAGAATAGGAACTCCCATTTCTAGCAGAATTACTGAATTTAACTAAGTATGTACTGAGAATGAGCCATGTGCCTAGAACTGTGCTGATGGTCTAGAAGATACAGAAATGTGAACAGAAGAATCCCTACTTTTCAAGAAACTTACAATCCAGATAGGAATACTAAAAATATATATATATATATATATATATATATATATATTTTCACATAATTAGCTAACTATTCATTCAATGTGTATTTATGCAGCACCTTCTCTTAGCAGAATATAAAAGAATTCAGAAATGCTCCTGTAATCCCAGCACTTTGGGAGGCCAAGGCAGGTGGATCACTTGAGGTCAGGAGTTTGAGACCAGCCTGGCCAACATGGTGAAACCCCATCTGTACTAAAAAAAATACAAAAATTAGCTGGGCGTGGTGGTGCACCCTGTAATCCCAGCTGCTTGGGAAGCTGAGGCATGAGAATTGCTTGAACCCGAGAGGCAGATGTTGCAGTGAGCCAAGATCATGCCACTGCAGTCCAGCCTGGGCAACAGAGTGAGACTCCATCTCAAAAAAAAAAAAAAAAAAAAAGAAATCAGAAATGGCTACTTAAAAAGACATGTTAATAATTATTTTGTAAAATGAAGAGTAATGTGAGTTCCAGGAGATGCTATCTGTGAAAGATGCAGGAGTATAAACAGTACTTCTATTAGTAGACTAGAGAATGTAGCCACCAGATAGAGGTTTTGATTGTTTATATTTTCTATCTCCAGAATCTAGCACAATGTCTGGTATACAGTAGGTGCTCAATAAAGAAATATTGAATGAATAAATTTTTCTAGGCTGGAGTAATCAGAGAAAAGCTACCTCATGGAAGAAGTCAAGCTTGAGTTAGATATTTAAAACATGACAGAAATTGGGTGGCAGTGGAGAGGGCATTTTAAGTTTTTCAGAGGATATCATTGCCATGTCTACAGTACTGTGTTATTTATTTCTCTCTCATATTTGTAAAATATTGCACAAGTCACCCATGAGCACTCAGCTATTTCTTATCTCCTTTATCAGACCATTAGGGAAGGGTTGACTCTGGGGCCCATGGCACCTGGTTGTATGATAAAATGCAAGAAGTGGTGATTTATTTCTACTTGAAGAAACAATTTTACAGTTTGGGGATGCTTTTGCAGCCCTGTTCAAAGAGGCTGTGGATTGGAATTCTCCATAAGGCCATTAATTATTGAATTTGCTTTACTGTAAAACAAAGGAGCTGCTTATAGGTGTCAGCTGTTGAAGGTGCAGAGTGACTTAGTAGCAGTATAAGTGCTCCTCCTAATCACAGGCAGACCTGTTAGCAGACACTCAGAAAAAAGGACAGGATACTGTCAGCACATTGCTTCAGGGAAGATGGGCAATTAGTGGCTTCAGATGTCACATAGCATTCTTCTCCTTTTGGTCTCCCAGGTGCTCTCTGTTGGGCAATCAGAGATTTTAGTTATGACTCTAGAAACAAGTCCCAGTGAGAGAATTTTGGGCTTTGCACTTGCCAAATGGTGAGATGAGTGGTGCCAGAGAGTTTGGCTGCGGTGGTTGTGATGGAAATTCTGCAGGTGGTGGTGCTAAAGAGAAAGAGAAAAAATTCCTGGCTGTCATGGAAGATAGTTGCTTTCTGGGCAGTGGAGCTGGATATACCAGTGCAGTCTGCAGTGCTGGTGGAGGCTCAATTCCACTCTGCTGCTGTGATTGTGTCCTTCAGCACACTCTGAGGTCCTGATCTGCTCTCCTGTCTTATATGTAGGGGTGCACAAAGCCAGACTGCAGGAGCCTTCTTGGTGGGCATTTTTATAATGATATGCATGAAAGCTTGACTTCTGAGTGTATAGGCATTCCTCACTTTATTGCACTTTACTTTATTGCACTTCACAGATATTGCATGTTTTGCAAATTGAAGTTTTGTAGCAACCCTGCATTGAGCAAGTCTATCAACACTGTTTATCCAATAGCATGTGCTCACTTCGTGTCTCTATGTCACATTTTGGTAATTTTCACAATATTTCAAACTGTTTCATTATTATTATATCTATTATGGTTATCTGTGATCAGGGATCTTTGATGTTACTATTATGATTGGGGGCACCACAAACCATGCCCATATAAAACTGCAAACTTAATAATTGTGTGTGTTCTAACTGCTCCACCTACCAGCTGTTTTCTCATCTCTCCCTCTCTTCTCAGGCCTCTTTATTCCCTGAGACGCAATAATATTGAAATTAGGCCAATTGATAATCCTACAGTGGCCTCTAAGTGTTCAAGTGAAAGGAAGAGTCATACATCCCTCATGGTAAATCAAAAGCTAGAAATGATGAAGCTTAGTGAGGAAGGCATGTTAAAGGCTAAGATAGCAGCCGGGCACAGTGGCTCATGCCTGTAATCCCAGCACTTTGGGAGGCCGAGGTGAGTGGATCACAAGATCAGGAGTTTGAGACCAGCCTGACCAACATGATGAAACCCAGTCTCTACAAAAAGCACAAAAATTAGCCAGGCGTGGTGGCACGTGCCTGTAATCCCAGGTACTCAAGGGCTGAGGCAGGAGAATCGCTTGAACATGGGAGGCGGAGGTTGCAGTGAGCCGAGATTGCGCCACTGCACTCCAGCCTGGACAACAAAGCAAGACTCCATCTCAAAAAAAAAAAGGCAAGATAGGCAGAAAGCCTTGTGTTAGACTGTTAGCCAAGTTGTGAATGCAAAGGAAAAATTCTTGACGGAAATTAAAGGTGCTATTTCAGTGAACACACACATGATAAGAAGGGGAAACAACTTTATTGCTGATATAAAGTTCTAGCGATCTGGATAGAAGATCAAGTCAGCAACAACATTCCTTTAAACCAAAGCCTAATCCACAGCAAAGCACTAATTCTCTTCAATTCTATGAAAGGTGAGAGAGGGGAGGAAGCTGCAGAAGAAAAGTTTGAAGCTAGCAGAGGTTGGTTCATGAGACTGAGGGAAAGAAGCAGTCTTTACAACATAAAAATGCAAGATGAAGCAGCAAGTGCTGATGTAAAAACTGAAGCAAGTTATCTAGAGGATAATTGATGTAGAAGTCTACACCAAACAACAGATTTTCAATGTAGATGAAATAGCCTTCTATTGGAAGAAGCTAGAGAAGAGAAGTCACTGTCTGGCTTGAAAGGACAGCTTGACTCCCTTGTTAGGAGCTAATGTAGCTGGTGACTTTAAGTTGAACCCAATGCTCATTTACCATTCCCCCAAATCCCGAATCCAAGAAAGCCTGGATGACAGTACATCTGTTTACAGCATGGCTTACTGAATATTTTAAGCCCACTGATGAGACCCACTGCTCAGAAAAAGAGATCCCTTTCAAAATATTACTTGCTCATTGACAATACACCTGGTCACCCCAGAGCTCTGATGGAGATGTACAAGGAGATAAATGTTGCTTTCATGCCTGCTAACACAACATCCTTTCTGTAGTTTATGGATCAAGGACTGATTTTGACTTTCAAGTCTTATTATTTAAGAAGTACATTTCATAAGACTATTGCTGCCATAGATAGTGATTCCTCTGATACATCTAGGTAAAGTAAATTGAAAACCTGAGAAGGATTCATCATTGTAGATGCCTTAAGAACATTTGTGGTTCGTGGGAGGAGGTCAAAATATCAACATTAATGGGAGTTTGGAAGAAGTTGATTCCAGCCCTCATGGATGACTTTAAAGGGTTCAAGGCTTCAGTGGCAGAAGTAACCACAGATGTGGAAGACATAGCAAGAAAACTAGAATTAGAAGTAGAGCTTGAAGATGTGACTGAATTATTGCAATCTCATGATGAAAATTGAATGGATGAGGAGCTGCTTCCTATGATGAGCAAAGAAAGTGGTTTCTTGAGATAGAATTGACTTCTGGTGAAGATGCTGTGAACATTGTTGAAATGACAAAAGATTTCTGTAAACTTAGTTGATAAAGCAGCAGCTGGTTTTGAGAGGATTCACTCCAGTTTTGAAAGAATTTCTACTGTGGGAAAAATGCTATCACACTGCATCACATGCTGTAGAGAAATCTTTAATGAAAGGAAGAGTCAATCAATGTGGCAAATATCATTGTTGTCTTATTTTAATAAATTGCCACAGGCACTCCCACCTTCAGCAACCACTATCCTGATTTCTGGCAGCCATCCACATTGAGGCAAGACCCTCCACCGGTAAAAAGATAATGAATTGCTGAAGATTCAGATGACTGTTAGCATTTTTTAGCAGTGAAATATTTTTAATTAAAATATGTACATTGTTTTTTAGACATGCTATTGCACACTTAATAGACTACAACATAGTGTGAACATAACTTTATATGTACTCGGAAAACAAAAAATTCATGTGACTCACTTTATTGTGGTGGTCTGGAACCAAACCCTCAATACCTCTGAGGTATACCTGTATATGGTAATGCGTGGGAGAGGGTTTGCGTTTAACGTTGTAGGGACAAGGCATTCAGTGCATTTAAACCAAATCTTGCTGAGCCTACAGAGTGGGGTACAACCCTAGTTCAGAACCTGGAGTATAAGGAAGAGACATGGCCTCTGTACCAGCAACAGAAATAGGATGATTTACAATTTACAAAAGGGTTTCACATGGGTTATCTCATTTGGAATCCACAATAGCCTTCTGAATCAGTAAAGCAAGGATTATCATTGCCCTTTTACAGATGAGGAAACTGAATCTCAAAAAGGTGAAGAGATTTGCCCATGGCTTCCTAGCAACAAGCCTTGAATCTAGGACCTT
Source organism: Homo sapiens (assembly GCF_000001405.40). Classification (NCBI taxonomy): domain Eukaryota; kingdom Metazoa; phylum Chordata; class Mammalia; order Primates; family Hominidae; genus Homo; species Homo sapiens. The sequence goes on from NC_000003.12 coordinate 124,125,314, forward strand.
GGATTACAAGTTTCCTGCTCTGTTCTTTCATGTTAGTTTCTAATCATGAGAACAGACAACTACACATGAAATGACTCAAAGATACTGATTATCATGATGACAGGAGAGTTTGAAGGGAAGGAGGAAGCCCAAGGTCAGAGATGGTGTAGTGAATGAGCAAGCCTCCATGAGCTGGTGACCTTGAGCTGTCACACAGATGAGAGGAAGCTGTGATGTGGTGGGTGGAGGGCTCTGGTGCCGTGCCTGGCAGTGCAGGCAGTCACTGTCTTCCAGGCCCACTCTTCCTTATTCCTGGACATTTGAGGGAGTCTAAGGGAGGTCCAGAGGAAACACAAACACCTCATTTTAACTTACAGTATAATCCCCCTTCCTAGAAATGCTTTCAACACAGTGGCCCACAAAAAGTAAAATGACTTGGAGTCAATTTCTTCTACTCCTTGCCTTTGATTCCCCTGTGAGTGGCAGGGAAATACTTAGGAGGAGTAAAGAGGTGTTGTTAAGAGCCTGGATGATTCAGAGTTAGGCCATCAGATGCTCTGCTTAATTAGGAGTGGGCTGTCCTGATTAGGTGTTTCTGCTTTGAGCAGGAGTGGTTCCATGAGTTAGAGGCTGCGTCTTGGTTTGCGTCCTGACTCTGAGGCAGGTTTGGAGGAAAAGGAGGTGACTCTACCACCTCATACCCCCAAATCTCGACAGCTTACCTACTAACATTCTCTTCTGACTCTAGGTTGCCTTTTAGGAACATCTGTTTTGCCTTCATCGTTTGCCTTGAAATACAAAATGTTGAATAGGAGAGAATCATGGTTTTGTGAATGTCTGGCCAAGAATTGGGAGAGATTTCCTTGCTTTTACCAGTCCTCAACTTAATGATTCTGTTTTTTTTTCTCTATTAAAAAAAAATTAATCATGAGTGAAATTTTCCAAACTTGAAAAGATATATATCAATCAGAAGGATTTTTCAGTAGGATTCCTTTATTTTTTTCCTCAATATTATGTTAAGAAATACCTGTAACCCAATATTACCTCAACTGTTTTCTCAGCGACTGTTGGTCAGATTTCTTTCTTTCAATCATTGAAATTTTTGCAAAGTCTGAGCAAATATTTGAGGCTTCTTCCTGCTCCCCACCACTCCTGCATCTTGAGAGGTGGAAAACGGAGGTTTGTGTGTGGTCTCAGGACATCCCCTGGCCACTCTTCTCCTTTGGGGTGATTTGCCTCCATGTTTTAAATCCAAGATGGTGGACATAGATGACATCCAATTATAACTTCTTTCTGATTTGGGGCACAAGGCCAGATTCTCCTAAGAGAATTTACACAGTCACAAGTTTGGAAGAATTTCTCATGATGTAATCAAGATGTAAAAGCTATTTCCTTGCTATAACTCATGTACAGTTTCTTGTGAAAATGAAATGGTCCAAGCTCTGCTGTACCATGCTCTCCAAGTGACAGTTTCATCTACTCCATATGTTCACAGATGAGGGAATCATTGTCACATGGCAAATGGCCAAGAAAGCCCCTAGCCCACTTCTGTAGCTTGTCCAAGAGTGCCTGGCACATTCCACCCCTCAATTATTCCCATCAATTGTGAACAGATGGGCACAATACTCTAAGTCATAGTAAAGTGACTTGTATCTGGCCATTATCCAAGTGAAATGAAAGAAGGTGCTGTTGTCTATCTGGCTCAACTACAATATGGGATTCATAAAATAATGACCCCTGGTTCGATAATGACAGGAGCCCCAAGCTGCCAGGATGGGTACTTTTGTGGCAAGGCAGCTCAGAGATCACCCTTCATAAATTTCAAATTGGTTGCAGATTTGTGGGTGAGACTTGCCTTGTTATTGTCTTCCTTTAATTTGCGACTCTATTGCTTCTCCATATTGCCTCAACCTGTCAAATATCTGATAAGATTTTCCCATTTAAATTTGATTCAGGTTAGGATTACCTACCAGTTTAGGAAGGCTCCAATTTATTCTAAATAGATGTTTCTGAGAATAATATCTCTGGACCTTAAAGTGTCCCTGAGACCAATTATACTGTCAGAGTGATTATTTTCTAATCCTCCTCCCCTTACTGAGGTTTCTGGACCCTACACTCCAATATGTACCTGTGTTTCTAAACTAGACTAATTTACCATTCTCTGTTACCCCCTTCTCAATCTGACCCCAAACTTCCCTCTTTCAGGAAGTCTGCTTTGCTTGATATTACCCACTTTTGACCACAGAGTTTTAGATTAGTAGAAACTTAGTTATGAATGAGATCTTAGAGTCCATTTAGTCTAACTTTCCACTTGAGGCAGAAATTGCCTCTAGATGATCTCTGAGTGATGGTGATTCTTATCTTCAGTGACAAAGTGCTCATGATTCCATGAGACAGCTAATTTTATTGTTGGTCAGATCTAATTGTTAGTAAATTATTTTATGTAATTGAAATCTGACTTTGTCTAATTTAGGCTTGTTGACCTTAGTTCAACCCTCTAGAGTAATGCAAAGCTATACAATTTCATTTCTACTTGAAGTCCTTCAGCTAATTGAGACAGCAGTTATTACTATCACACAGTCTTTTTGCCAGTGTGTTATACTTTTTGGTTGATCCATGTCTCCTTATTTTTTTTCTTTCTCTTATGCTTCATTTACTTTTTTATGCTTATTCCACAGTTTTAGAGGTGAAATCTCTTCATTATTTTGTGTCCCTTAAGAATTTATGTCCTTGACATGTAGAATATGTTTTAAGTTACTCAGTTTTTGCCTTTCTTCAATCATGTATTCCCTCAATATTTATTAAGTACTTTTATTTGTGGCAGGTGTATGGTAGGTGCTAGCAATGACTAAGGCCAACTCCCCACCCTCAAGAAGCACTTACTGATGTGTCACACTAACTTTTCTCAAGTTATTAATTATTACTATAGTCACATTTATCAGTGGAATAAGATCAGTTTATGAACAAAGAAAACCAGAAGACTGGGATATTGAGACATTGATGCTTTCAACCAGTGTTATGCTTGTTTGTCTGGTGGCCATTCCTCACCCCTCTCTCCACTTGCTACTTTTTGTATATTAAAAGATATTTGGACCTGAAAAAGATGGATTTTCCGTAGAGACTATTGAGATAGCAAACACAGAAGCCTGAGGTCAAATAAACTTTTGGGCTGAGAATGGAAGTCTTAGCTCAATGCCATTTCACTTGTTGGCAATTCAAAGGTGTTAGTTATACTTCTGCCCCATCCAGAGGGCAAATGTTCCCTCTGAGTTGACAATACAGGGAAGCAGGAAAATGGAATGAAAATTTCAACCAAGTAACAAGAAGTAGAGAAGTAGAAGGTCTTTTCTGATGGAATAAGACTACAGAGCCATGAAAAACCTTGATTTAGGCCCCAAAAGCTATTTGGAGAAGAAGTGAGCCTTCTGTAGGGGAGCATTGTAATCCAAGAACTTCATGCAGGTGACTGTGGTATGGTGCCGAGGTCTTCCTACTTGCCTCCTTCTCAGATGCTCACTGTGTCCTTTTCAACTGGTCCTGAAGAGTTCTGTGGTCCAGAGTCATCTCATTGGTCTAAACATTGTGTGCTTGTTCCCTGTCCCCTCCTCTGTGTTAGCTGCCCTGTTGGCTTGGTTATATCTCTGCACAGGGATAGAAGCAGCTTTCCATCCCAGAAAATCATGGAGTTGTTCTCAGACATTTGCATTTGACATCTAGAGAGCCAAGCAGAAACTATGAATTGTGAAATTGAGGGCATAGAGGCTTACGAGTAAAACTGCGTACAGCCGTATTCAGCATGCTCATATTTGGGTGTTCCTAAGAAAATTCCTAAAAGTCACAGTCATTGTGCTCAGGCAGCTTTTGTTTGAGGAAGGTCCGTCATACTCAGGAGCATTAGCAGAACGGTGCCCCAGCATCATGGTGGCATGGAAAGCCACTTAGATAGGCTTGTGCTGTCTATTCACAGATCCCAAGGGTCCCATGTTCTTCCTACTGTTGTCTTTTGCTCTGCTAGAGGGCAGAGCACTCTCTACGTCTGCTTCACTGCTCTGCCTTAAGTCCTGTCTGCTTTAAGGATCAGCTCAATGCCTGTCCATAGTGACTCATACTCCAGTTTGCACCCTGCATTTAGAACAGAGCCCCTTCTCACTTTACCCACCCAACTAGAGACATACTCTTTAAGGGTGGTATGTTTTGTAAGGTCAGGGAATATGTCTTGTCTTAGGCACTGCACTTGGTGGTTAGGTGTGGGATGTGATGCTCTACTTCAATCTCCTGGACAATGGCACCAAGAGGCAAGGGAGAAGGAAGTTCATGATGGGTGGAGGTTGGATAAAGGATAAGATAGAGCTTGGTCTTCTGTTGTAAAGAAGACCAGAGGTTGTAATAATCACGTCGCCTTCAATCACCCATTCACTCTATCACCATGGCCCTATGGGCAGGGCTGTTCTCCCTTCTTCTGTTTTCATTCCCCAGGAAACCTCTTTTGGGCCTTGCTTTCCCCTCTAAAGCCAAGGTCATCAGTGAAGTTTGTTTTAACCTCATTTCATCTGTGAAAGGGGTTGGATGGGTAAAGTGAGAAAAAGAAGGCAGATGACAACATTCCATGTGATGTGTTCTGGAGCCCTGCCCCTTCAAGGAACTTCCAGAATGTCTAGCTCGGTAACAGAATATGTGCTTTATAAATGTGTATTGTTTGATAACTGATTAACATTTGCCAAGCCACATAAAAGCAAGTGAAATGAATAACAACTCACTTACCTATTTTGGGGACAACTTTTACCATTCAGGACATAGAAATAGCCTTTCTAGTGGAAAGCCCATGTGACCAGAACTTATTGACCTATGGTAGTGTATAAATTAAAGTTCCTGATTGGGCCGTCTTTAATATTTTCCAGGACAGAGATTAGAGGGAGGTGCTCTGGGCTGCTGATACCTTAGTGATATCTACCCATGAAGGAGGAGAGAGTGAAATCCTTAGATATTTAGTATATCTCTGAATATGTTAAATGTATATTCAGAGCTCTCTGAACTTCTCAGTGTAGTCTGCAATGGTTAGGTAGTTTACTATTTTCAAGAAGTAAAATTATTAGATTTTTTTTAAAAACTGCTTAAAGACTAACATCAGTTATCTGGAAACATACATGGGGTACCGTCTTTTCCAGTGATACTTTAAAAATGACTATTTACCAATAATATCAAGTTTTGTTGAGACTATGGAGTTCCTGGAACTTACTTTGCTGGTGGGAGTGTATATTTATACAGCACTTTAAAGAGAATTTTCATGATATCTATTATGCACACCCCATGAACCCATAATTCTACACCTGGATATACCCAATAGATTTGAACTCCATCTAAAAACAAAAACAAAAGCATGTACAAGAATGTTCATATCAGCTTTATTCATAACAGCCTCAAACTGGAAACAACCAAAATGTTGTTTCCAACAACAGTAGAATGGATAAATACATTGTATATCAACGCCACAGAATGTTATACAGAAAAGATAAAGAGCGCACTATTGGCACTCTAATAGTATAGAAGCATCTTAGAAGATTGCGAAAGGAAGCCAGACATAAGAGAATACATATTGTATTCTCCCACTTATATGACCAAACAAACCTAATGTGTGGGACAGAGGTCAGAATAATAGCTATTCTTGACTGGAAGGGGGCATGAGGGAGCCTTCTGGGTAGCTGTAAATGTTCTAAATCTTGGTCTGGTGATTATATTAGTGTATAACATATGCAGAAATTCACCCAGCTGTACCCTTATGATTTGTATACTTTGTGCAAGTTATGCTTTAATGAAAAAGCAAAGAAAAGGAAGAGAGATTGCTGAAGTGTGATGCTGAGTAATTTGCCACAGACCCCAGTGTCTTCTATATGTCTGAAGGTTAACAGATAATATTCTTAAGGTTCTTGCCCCTGAAACTTCTTGTGAATTTTAGCATATTTTTCCTGCTTCCAACTTGCTCTGGAAAGAACTGGAGTCTGTGACTCAGGAGTCCTCTGCTATAGTCTCTCAGCCCCAGTTACCAACTGTGTTTACTTACAGGTCAGTTCTTCAAGGAGTATATGAAATAGACCTTCCAGTCACTCCTCTACCTTTGACCCATGGGGTCTGGTGAACATAAAGTGAGGTATAAGCTATCAAGGAGTTTTTGAAAAACATTAAAAGGGCCACCCAAATACTAAGAAGTAAGATTGTACTTGAACTTGATGAAATTGATGGCAGCTACTGATTAGAATCACATAAGGTGCTGTTGACAAAGACAATGCTGTGACTTTAAAGAATTGGGCAGTGATTTATGAATCATCATGGTACTTGGCTCAGGGCTCTCAGTGGCAGCTGTGACATCAGGGTGTAGGAACACATGAGGTGACTTGTGTGTTGGGAAATTGTGGTGATTACAGAAGCAGCCACTGCCGGGAGGTCAGCATCACATGCTTAGAATGATGGTTCTTTTCCAGGTGAAGCCCTTGGACTACTGTGGCCAAGTGAACAGTGCCCTGTTTAGACAACCCAGGCCCATTTCTGGCTTTTCCACCAAATAATTATGTGACACAAGGCAATCTGTTCGCTTCCCTGGACCTTAGTTCCTCCTCTGTAAAATGGGGGAAATGATGTCATAAGTCCCTCTGAGCTCTAACTTCCTCCATGTCTTCCCCACATAGCCAGTTCTCACTTTTTTTCCGTATGTGTATTATATGGTCAGTTTTAAATCTGGAACAGTCTTCTTTTCATGTGGCTGTTTTTTACAAGTAGATCTTTAAGAAGACAACTCAGCTGCCAAGAATCATGTTGTCTCCTAACAAACAATATCCATTATTCTGGAATATTGATTATCCATCATTTCAACAACCCAGTATCTCTTTCCATCATTAGTGCTGATGACTGGGTGCTGCCTGAATTACACAACCACTTTCCTATCCCTCCAGCCTCCTCTACCCTGTTGGAGCCCCAGGTGGACATGTCTTGATGAGCAAAGCTGTGCATTAGTAATGCTTAGTTTGGGGCCACATTTTCCTAAGGTTTGTGAGGGAAGCTCAATCATCACTTCAAGTGCCCAGAGCCTAGAACCCGAGCCGGTGAGAACACTGATGGGAGGAGAAGAAACTTAGTGAGAGGGAGCCTCCATCACTGGGAAGTGAGCACTGCAGCACCGCACAACACATACTCCTGGACTTCTTTCCTGGCCTGAGCTTTTCAAGGCTGAATGAATGTGCAAAGCCAGGAAGAAAATACCTTACTCTCCTCTGGTCAGCCTGGGCAGAGATCTTCTTTTACACACGGCAGGACTTGGGGAAGGAAGAGGAGGATGATGAGGCCAGGAGAAGGTGACTTTGTTGTGTCTGGGAAGGAACCAGGGCCTTGTAACTCAGAGAATTGGGGAAAAGCTTTGTGGCACCTTCATTTTTCTGGCTCCTTCATGGCTGTTTTGGCAGGGATTTTTGCCCCGTCTCACATTCCAAGTTCTTTCATGAGAGCTTTGTGGGTCAGAGGCAGGGAACTAGACCAGACCTTAACCTCTGAAGACACAAATTCTCCCCTGGCAGCCCCTGTCTCTTTGGGAGTTGTTCTGGTTCCTCCTGCTGGGGCATTTACACTGTTTTCTCTGAAGTCAAATCCATCTTCCTCTCTGTCCTCTGGAATTTGGTTTCTGAGGCACTTAGTAGGTGATAGCATGACTGACTGCCTCACTGACCACTTCCAGATGAGGGTTACTCTCCTCACAGCACGGCCTTGAGGCAGCTCATGCCAGGGATGCTGCCTGTGTTCCAACTGTGGATCTGCATTCTGGGAACAGCCAATTGATCTGATGGTGCGGGGTTACTTTTTATTTTTTAAATTTAAAAATTAAAAAAAATATATCCTTAGTGGTGATTAAAACTTCAGAACTGTTTTTGAATACTAATTTGGTTTTTGGAAACAGCCCAACTCCATTCGGGAAAATCTGGGGAAGAGGGAATCAAATCTGGGCAAGCTGGGTGACAGTATTTTAGTTTAAAAAACAAAACAACAACCTTCCTCTCTCCCCCACCTCAAAAAAACACAACACAAGGTTTGTCTATTAAGTAATGAAACAGTTTGCTTGTTTTTAAATTTAGAACGACAGTCGAGGCTGTTTTCAGAAGTTCAAAAATGTTTAGTGTCTGCTAGAATAAGCACAGAGCCCCGGAGGTAGCTAACAAGGACAGCCCTCATTTCTGTCTTCAATTCAGGAGGCCACAGGTCAGGATCTGTGGCATTGTGGAGGGCCCACCCAGGGCACTGCCTGTGATTGCAGACCCACTCCTGTGCCTTATGGGGAGGGAGGCGCTAGAGGAATCTGGGGCTATTGCCAAGTCCCCTATCGTTCACATGTTCCTGGAGAAGGAGTTTGGATACTGACAAATCCTGCATCAGGGAGGGCTACCTGAGTCCAGAGATCTCATCCTGAGCCTGTCTGCTTGCCTGGAACCACAGGCAAAAAGAGTTTCAGGGCAGCCGGAATAGGACAACATGTTCCTAGTATAACTAAAATGGCCTTTATCAAGTTGCTTTAAAGAGGTGTTCTTTGACTGCTGAAAGAAATCATAGATGACACAAACAAATGGAAACACATCCCATGCTCATGGATGGGTAGAATCAATATTGTGAAAATGACCATACTGCCAAAAGCAAGCTACAAATTCAATGCAATCCCCATCAAAATACCACCATCGTTCCTCACACAGTTAGAAAAATCAATTCTAAAATTCATTTGGAACCAAAAAGAGAGCCCATGGAGCCAAAGCAAGACTAAGCAAAAAGATTAAATCTGGAGGTATCACACTACCTGATTTCAAACTATACTATAAGGCTATAGTCACCAAAACAGCGTGATACTGGCATAAAAATAGGCACATAGACCAATGGAACAGAATAGAGAACCCAGAAATAAACCCAAATACTTACAACCAACTGATCTTTGACAAAGCAAACAAAAACATAAAGTAGGGAAAGGACACCCTTTTCAACAAATGGTGCTGGTATAATTGACTACCCACATGTAGAAGAATGAAACTGGATCCTCATCTCTCACCTTATACAAAAATCAACTCAAGGTGGATTAAAGACTTAAGACCTGAAACTATAAAAATTCTAGAAGACAGCATTTGAAAAACCCTTCTAGACATTGGCTTAGGCAAGGATTTCATAGCCGAAAACCCAAAAGCAAATGCAATAAAAACAAAGATAAATATCTGGGACCTAATTAAACTAAAGAGCTTTTGCATGGCAAAAGGAACAGTCAGCAGAGTAAACAGACAACCCACTGAGTGGGAGAAAATCTTCACAATTTATACATTTGACAAAGGACTAATATCCAGAATCTACAACGGACTCAGACAAATCAGTAAGAAAAAAACAAACAATTACATCAAAAAGTGGGTTAAGGACATGAATAGACGATTCTCAAAAGAAGATACACAAATGGCCGACAAACATATGAAAAAATGCTCAACATCACTAATGATCAGGGAAATGCAAATCAAAACCATAGTGCAATACCACCTTACTCCTGCAAGAATGGCCATAATAAGAAAACAAAAAAACAGTAGACATTGGCGTGGATGCGGTGATCAGGGAACACTTCTACACTGCTGGTGTGAATGTAAACTAGTACAGCCACTGTGGAAAATAGTGTGGAGATTCCTTAAGGAACTAAAAGTGGAACCACCATTTGATCCAGCAATGCCACTACTGGGTATCTACCCAGAGGAAAAGAAGTCATTACTTGAAAAAGATACTTGCACACGCATGGTTATAGCAGCACAGTTCACAATTGCAAAATTGTGGAACCAACCCAAATGCCCATCAATCAATGAGTGGATAAAGAAAATGTGGTATATACATATGATGGAATACTACTCAGCCCTAAAAAGGAATGAATTAACAGCATTTGCAATGACCTGGATGAGATTGGAGACTATTATTCTAAGTGAAGTAACTCAGGAGTGGAAAACCAAGCATCGTGTGTTCTCACTGATATGTGGGAGCTAAGCTATGAGGACACAAAGGCATAAGAATGATACAGTGGACTTTGGAGGCTTGTGGGGAAGAGTGGGAGGGGGGCAAGGGATAAAAGATTATAGATATGGTGCAGGGTGTACTGCTTGGGTGATGGGTGCACCAGGATCTCACAAATCACCACTAAAGAACTTACACATGTAACCAAATACCACCTGTACCCCGATAACTTATGGAAAATAAAATTTAAAAAATAGGTGTTCTTTGAAAGGGTGTGGGGGTGTTAGAGGTCTGGGGTCTGCACTGTGAGCTGTCTTATAGGGAAAGTCTGGTTCCAAGGGACCCAGCCTGTTTTTAAGGACAGCGAATCAAGATGCTGGGATTATGGAGATGGCTGCTGAAGAGAACTCTTGCCCCAAACTATGAACAGTCATGAAGTTTTCTTTCTTGGTGGGGAAGGGTCCTTGATGAGGGACCAGTGTAGGGGACATTCTAAACACAGCAGCCCAGCTGCTCAACTCAGAGTCAACCAGGGGCCCATTCTGGAGAAAGAAGGGAAGTGATGAACACTGGGCATCTGCTATATACTGGGCATTTCCTTATATCATTTTATGTAATTCTCAATAGTCCTTCAAGGGACTGTTACATTCCCCATTCTACAGATGAGAAAATGGAGGCACAGATGGTGCAGCTGCTTGTCCTCATCTCCTTACTGCAGGATCCCTTCTCACTTGCCTGCATACCCTGTTACAGTCTTTGCACTCAGTATATTGCATTGTGATGACTTCCCCACACCTAGAAATTCTAATGAAATTGGTCTGGGATGGGGCCCAGACTGGTATTATTTTAAAAGCTCCCCAGCTTATTTTAATTGCAGCCAGGGCTAAGAACTGATAGTTTAGATTATGGGTTTTTCATTTTTTTTTTTATATCCCCAGGGCCTAAGTCAGTGGAACTCAAACTTGAGCACACATCAGAATAATCTGGAGGACTTGTTAAAACACAAGTTGTTTGCCCTACCTTCAGCGTTTCTGATTCAGCAGGTCTACAGTGGGCCCAAGAATTTATACTTCTCACAAGTTCCCAGGTGATGCTGATGCTGCTGGTCTGGGGACCTTGCTATGAGAGCCCCTGATCCTTTAGAACGAGAGGAGGCACTTGTTCATTACATGCTGACTGAATTTTACCAAATTGCCAAGGTCCCCCCCCCATTGATTGGAATCAGGATTTGAATACTGGCCTACCAGGTAGCAAATAGGCTGGCTCTAGGGGAGCCTGGGTGGTAGAGTGAGGTGGGCCTGCCTGTCTACTTAACCTCTGGGAGGAGAGTAGAGTTTGTTGGCCTTTAGGGTCTCCTCACAGGGAGAAACAATAACCAGTTTCTTGCCAGGAAACCTAGTGGCTGTTAAAGGCCCAGAAATTTTGGGTAGAGGTTTGAGGCAGCCAGAAGATCCTAGAATCCTAATCCAGGACACAGATTCCTAGTGCAGAGTGTGACCTGGGAAAAGATGGTCATGGATGTGCATGTACCAGAGTGTTTGTTACAAAGCTGGTGACACTGCTCTTTAAAGTTACTTCTTGTTTTCGCACTACAGGAAATTATGGAGGCACTAGTGATGGAAACAGGGCGGAGTGATGCCAGAGGTGGGGAGCGAGGCCCTGAGCAGACCCGGATGATTAGGGAACAGGGTTGATGGGGCAGAGCAGCTGTGAGAGTTTGGGCACCTGGAAAGAATGTTTGAGGCCACAGCAGGAATGGTGTGTTTGGGAGAGGAGGAAGAGGCTATGCTGATGAATATAGCAGAGGACATGGGGAGTCTGGATTCTCATTCTGGAGGGACGTGCTTGTTACCTGGACACTGGAGTCGCCGGTTTTGCTGAACAATGCATTTAAAAAATGAAACCTCAAAACAAATATTTACTTACGTGTACAACACTGTTCTAGATGCTGTAGGGCTGCCAAAAACTGGTTAATGAGAAAAAGCAGAGTGAGGTAAGTGTTAAGTGATTGTTGCAGGTGGCAAGTCCATAAGAGTGGGGAGAAGAGTCCAGTTGGCTGTGTGGCTGGGAAGGCTGTGAGCCTGCTGGTCCTGGCAGGATGAGTGAGTGTGAGATGTGCTGTGTCAATGGGGTGAGCAAAGGTGTAGGGTGGGGCTCTAATGAGGGACAGCTCATTATGGGAGCAATGGAGCATTTGTGCAGAGGATGTAAGGATGTGGTTGAAAAGGGGAAATGAATGAATGCCACCTTGTCCTTGTTTGCTGTTCCCTCTCTCTCTCCAAGTGTGAGGGCTGGGACTAACTTGAGGATGCAAGCCTCCTGACTAGCAGGGCTGCTGGAACTGACTACTTCTTAAAAGAGTTTCTCCAAGGAGTCCTTACACGCAAATTTTATGTTATTTTTACCCTTTCCAGAAATACTGGAGGCTGGAGGAAGAGGAGGAAAGCTCTCTCTCCTTTTAGAAATGGGACTACTGAGGTCTAGAGAAGGGAAAAGGCTAAAAATGGTGCTCTGGGTGTGGGTCGGATGCAGGGAGATGGCTGAAATGGCCATCTGAATGTAATAGTGTCCTCTGAGGGCAGGGGTGAAGGGCACAGTTTTCTCTGAACAGCATTGGGATATGGATGCTTGACCCTAAGAATCTTCTGTAAAGTATGTGTTTTTGTGGATCTGGGAGGAAGTATAGAGAACAAGGGAGGTCAGAACAGCCCTAGTCGGAGCTTAAGGCCCTGGACATTCCCAGGGATCCCCAGTGGCCCCCAGCAGGCTGGTATCTCAAGGTTCACAGAGCCTGTCCTGGGTGCCACATCCTAGCACTGTGGTTTCAGGCATCTCCCACAATTTGTGCCACTTCCACCACCCTCCTGCAGCTTTCTCTTTGCCCCTCACTGCCACCTCTGGGCTCAGTGGGAGTTGAGCAGCTAATCAGAACTGCAAAATCCTCTCTCCCTGCTGGATCACCATTAGACATCAATTTAGCATGTCTTTGGAGAGACCTACTCTTTTCCACTCCCCCAACTTTGAAGTCAGTTAGCTCTGACTAAAAGAGGGGGAGGGGAGGCTCTCTGTGCTCTACTCCACCAGTGGTATCACCCACCAGTATTTATACCAAAGAGGTTCTGTTGCCTTGACAACTTTCTTGCATGGGTTCTGGTGCTCAGAATATCTGACAAATAGCAATGCTTCACACTCAATGGGCAGAGACAGACAAGCAGATCAAAGAGCAAATCTCAATGATCAATGCCAGGGTCAAAGATGAAAAGAGTGACTGAGGCAGGATACAAGAAAGCCACTGAGGCCAGAGGATTCACTGAAGTTCTTCCCTTCTCCCATATTCTCTCCCTCCACCTTTCCTTATGTATTCTCCTCCTCCTTTCTGTGGAATTCCCGGGCCTTTTGGTCTTCATAGATCAGTCATCAGCATGAACTAGGGGGCCTGTATGGCAGAGTATTCCCCTGGACCACTGAAGGGACATGGTGAGTACAGAGGGGGTAACTCCTAACTATGGCTTTGGTCCTCAGAGAGCTCCCAGCTTGTTGGAGGAGACCATGGTATTCATCTCCATGACACTTCTGCTGGGGGGAAAAGGAAGGCTATTAGTGTGAGGGAGCCCAAAAGTTGAGATGGTGTTCTCTGATATTGTTTACATATGTATGTATCATGGCGCATATAATACAGATGTGAGGCCACAGAAAAAGCTCACTGCAAAGATAAATGGTGCAAGAGTGGGGACCGGGGAGCATATGGGAGGACTTGCAGCAGGAGGCTGGGGAAGCTAGCCCAGGGATAAAAGTCCTTTTGTGGTAGAGAAGAGCTCTCCTCTCAGGTTCCATCTATAGGGCCCAGATCCTTTCTTTTTTCTCTTGGTTACATGGTCCTTTGTGAGAACCATATCTCCTTGGATGCAAAAGACCAGAGTAATGAGGAGGCAAAGGGATTCTGATGTTGACAACACTCTCTTTAAGTTGTTCTCCAGAGAAAACATGCTGAATGGGTGGGTGCTCATGTGTCAAAGTTTGGGTGTATATGTTAAGTAAGTGAAGCTTCCACAGAAACAGAACAAAATACTACATCTTTTGTGGCTTCCTATGGCATGATCCTCTTGAGTCACACTTGGATTAGTGTTTTAATGCATTCATTTCTTTATTCCTCCTGCAGTTTATTGTGTACTAGCTATGTACTAGGCCCTGCACAGTATAGACTCTTCTAAACCACTACTTTCTGCTTTGCTGAGAACTGCTGGGCAGCAGTCCCTCTCTTGTTAGGGACAAGGAGGGTTTGTACAGAGAGGAGAGAGGCAGAGCCTTAGGGCACAGTGAGAGGGAATGCAAGAGTGGTCAGATACATGGTAGAAAAACCAGAGCACCTGGGGGTTCCCTTGTCAAGGGTTGCAAGGAAGGAGAGGGCACTACACTCAAGGATTGGAGAGTGAGATAGAACTGTGGGGGATTGGATGTGAGGAGATCATGGTCATCTTTGAAATAACAGTTTCAGGACTGGGTTGGTGCAGAATGAAAGCTTAGGTGAGCAACAAGGGGGGATTTTGTATCATCTGAAAGGGCTTCCTGGTTTCAGACCTCCTTTCTCCTGGTACACCTTGATCTCTCTAACTCTGCCTTCACGGGAGATAGAAGTGGCTTTTCTGTTGCGCTTTGCCGTGCTCTCTGGAGAGGTCCTGCCCCCTATCTTTCATATTGTACCCTAAAGGGCCCATATTGTCATATGGTAGTTCCACCAGCAGAGTTATCTCTCTTGTGACTTCTTTTATCTGATGATTAGGACTGATCCCCAGTGAAGCTGTGAAACTTGCTTTCTAGGTCCCTTTGCCAGTCCGGTCAATCGTTGACTAACTTCAGTAGCCTACCCAAATATGGCCAATGATTCCACCTCCAGAATGCCCCTCTCCTCCTCTCCAAAGCATTAAAACCCTGGCTCCCCCAGGCATCTGATAAATGAATACATACTCTTGTACTTACGGCTGGTAACAACTCACTAAGTTATGCCTCACAGGAGAATGTGTAGTTTAAAAGAAACATATTAAGCTAGAGAAATAAATCTCTAATGGTAGAATTTCAACTGCCACTGACAAGCGAATAGAAGTGATATTTTAGGGGCCATGAGCTGCATTTATAGAGCTCTTCTCTGTCTCTGTCAGACCTTATCTTGAGGATGGAATTCAGTTCAAGGTGCCCCAGATGGAACAAGTGAGATTCTTACCCAGGTCTCTCTGAATCCAAAATCTTATCCCCTGTCTCTATAGCAAGATGCTGGGTGAGGTCTCCTGTGATTCCCTGCCCATGGCAAAGGCTAGATGACCCCTCACTAGAGCACAGAAGGAATTCTTGCCTGGACAGGGAAGTGGCTTCACCCTGTTTGAAAGCTTCACTTGCTCTACTGATGGGAATAATTAAGTGTTGGCCCTGAGAGTCCATTCCCATTCTCCCTGTGACTTCTTTCACCAGAGCATACAGTTTCCAACTCCCAAAGCAGCAGCCTTGCCCTCCCGGGGGGGGCACAGGGAGTAGGGGAGGGCTGGTCTCACCCTGGGTCATGGGTGACTTCACCTCCCCTTCCCCAGCCTCAGGTTTCCTTTTCTTGAGTTTATGATTCATGATTATTTCATTTGGATATCTTAGAAGAATCTTAAAAATGCATAGAATGGAAATAATCTACCTCATTACCACCTTCTCCGCAAATTTTTTGTTGGGCTTCTCTAGTTCTGAATGTGATACCATCATGTTCTTGCCTTGAAGCTTGGGTTAACTTTGATTCCGCCTTCTTCAGCCCCCCAGTCACCAGGACTTGTCTGTTTGTCCTTGAAATACCCAGGGAACCGGTCCTTCCTGGCCACCTCCAATGCCATCCCTAATTCAGACTCTCTTCATCCCATGCCTAATAGCTCCTTCCCTGGCTTTCTGAACCCTGCAGGTTTCTTTTACTTCAACTCCTCTTTTCACCATGTCTTTCCTCACTGGAACAGCTGATGGTTTTCATAGCCCTGGTCGAAGATTAGAATCCTCACTCTGTCAGCCACAACTCCCTAGCCTCGCCCAACCCCACTTTTTTATACTGTTTCCCACCAGCTCTGTCTTCTAAGCAAAGTGATCTTCCTTGGAGCATATTTTCTGCTTTTTCTCATGTGGGTGAGATTTTTCCTTTTCCAAATGCCCTTACCTCTCTCATCCTCTCCTCACCTGTCCTCCCCCTGAATCCTTTAAGGCTCAGATCCAAACTCCTTCTTCCACAGAATCCCCATTTAAACTGTACTATGATTTATTTTTGTACATCTCATTTGGCACTTTTTGTAGGTTTTCACTAATTGTTAATTTTCACATTTTATCTCCTTGGTTGCAAATTGTCTTTTCCATAGCACTTGGCACAATGAAGGGTGTTGGTTAGTGACTGCCTGGTTCTCATTCTTTCTGCGTTCTCACCTTCCTTTCAGTCACAGCCTGTCTTTGCCCCAGGAATCTGCCCTTGTTAATCCTGGCTATTTTTCAGCCTGTCAGTATCTCTGCCTGTGTTGCCTCAACCAGTGTTCCTTGCACCCCTTTTTCCTATTAAATCTCAGCATCTCAGAGAAGCAGTGTGGGCCAGTGGGAAGTGCTCAGGCTTTGGGGCTGGGAGGATCTGGGTTTGAATCCCAGCTCTGCTGTGTGGTTTTGAGCAAGTCACTCTCTGAGGCTTTGGCCTTTTCAACTCTGAAAATGGGGAAACTATTCTTTATCATTAGGTAAAAATACATAATAGGCCCTCAGGAAACATTTATCTCCCTCTCCCCTCCATTCTCAATTCCTCCTTCTCCATGCAGCCCTTCCCAAGTACCCCAGGTGATACTCACCTCTGCTCTTACTGAGATCCTGTGGCATGTACAGTGTCAGAGACATAGGGCTAAGCTTTGTTTATGTCTCTCAACTTAGAGAGCGGATGCCTGAGGTCCAGAGATGTGGAGCGACTTGCCACAGGCTTCCCCAAGCAGGTAAGTGGCTGAGCCAGGTCCAGCACTCAGTCCTGCGTTTCAGGCAGGTGTCTGTCTCTGTACCCAGCCAACACATGGGCTCCTTCAGCTTGAGGGCTGTCTCTATCCCCACAGCATCCTGCACAATGTTGAATGAACATGGAGAAGGTGCTTAATAAATACTTGTTGGTCAACTATGTGTGTGAGTCCTACTTCCCTGGTGGGAGTAAAGATTGTTATGTTCAGCTTTTGTCCCTTTTTGGTATTCATTGCAGGCCTGGTTACAGTACCTGAAGGTTAATTTCAGACCTAAGAACCAGGGTTTTTCAGTGGTTCCTGGGGCTGTCCCTACAGTATTCTGCCTAGCTCTGGAGAGAATGATTCTGTGGAGTGTCCATTTGTGAGCGGCTCCGTGGGGAGAGGCCTGTGTGTGTAGCCTCGATGCTTGCTTATACCACTTTTCCTCCCACTCTGTACTCCTCCAGCCTCCCCTCTTTCCATCTCCACCCCCCACCCACTCCCTGCACCATGCCGCTGCTCTCCCTGCTCTAAGAATAAATCATCACTGTTGCATAGCAACGAGTTTGGTTTCCTTTACTCCTCCTTCTCCTCCTCCTCCCACAAAAGTGCCTCAGTGCTAAATTTAAGGTAGTGTGTCAGGGGATGCTATCACCCCACAAATGCCTCTGAACCCCAGCATTGTTTCCCTATAGCTACTAGCTTTATAAGGACAGAAACTGTGATGGCTTTTTTTTTTCACTTTTCTACCCTCAGCACCTAATACAGTTTCTAGTACTAGGCACATAGTAGGTGTTCAGTGAAAATCTATTGGATGATTAATGAATGAATCATTTTATTGGAATTCTTGCAGTTAAGAGGTGCTTCTGGGAAGGGGAAATGTTATTGCAGACTCTGGGATTATCCATAATTCACCTCTCTTGGCTGGGTGCCTCCCCTCCTTTCTTTCCGCAGCCACCAAAAAAGCTGATCTAGCAAGAAAAGGCACATATTTCTTCATATCTCACTGTCATGTGGATGGTGGATGTGTTTCCCTCTCTATTTTCTGGAAACTGGTGGTTCAGGCAATCCACATGGTTTATTGAGCCCAATGGGAAGTACCAGTCTAATGGGGCTTTAGGGTTGGGAACAGATTGCTCTTTTTGATGACAGGAGTATGAGGCTTGTTTTCTGGGGAAGATGGACGTCTGTGAGCTTTGAAGTCACAAAGTCCTGGATTTGAATCCCAGCTCTGCAACTTGCGAGCTGTGTGGCCCTGGGTGGGTCCCTTAACTTAGTTCATGGGTTGTAAGAATTGCATGAAGAAAACTACTAATAGAGCCTCACAGAGTGCTAGGAAACAAGGGTGCCCAAATAGTGTGTGTTTCTTTTTCCCCTTTAAATGGAGAGAGAGAAACATACCAGAAAATACCTATTAATGCTAGTGATGGAATGCCATCTATACATAGACAGGCAGGACAAACAAAGGTAAACCAAGTGAAATTTAACAATTTTGGTGTCCTAAAAGCTTCCAATAAAGACTAAAAAGGCTCTAATGTATATTTGTTCAATAAATAAGACTGGCGTCAAATTCTGTTTGAAAGTGGGGCATATATCCTAAATAAATAAATTTTAAAAAAGCCAGTTTTCATTTTAGAACAGGATAATCTGAACAATTGGAAGCTATTAGATGGGCAGTAAGGGGGGGATCTAAGGAGTGTCTCTTTTGGGGCCAGAGGGAGTGTTCTCCTTGGACCTAACATATGTACCTTTTTTCTTTTTCTGGCCTGAAAAATAAGTGTTGGATTTCACAACTGACTCCCTAGCTACCCTATGTTCATCTCCTTCCAAACATTCCCAAATAGCATCCCAAATTGACTCAGTTGTAGCTTCATGGAGTAGGAAGTCCAGGATCCAGAGGGAGAATGACAAGTCCAGCTGCTCCTCTGAGATCCTGGAACTAGAGGTTGGAGAGGAGGCTGGGAAGGGGCCACTGTTCAGCTAAAAATAGCAGCATCAGCAACTAAAGAGCAGCCAGAGATCAGAACCTGGGGCAGCCCCAGGCACGCATTCCCAGCAGAGAAGTCTGAGCTTAGCTAAATTTTTCCCTGCTCCTTAGGAAGGGGTAGTGGGTACTGCCTGATCTTCTGTGTCATCTGTGCATCTGTGCCTGCCCACAGTGGGCAGCTAGCATCTCCCCTTCCAGGTATGCACACCACTTCCTTGTCATTGTCACCATCATCCTCGTCCTCCTCCTCTTCCTCATTGTCCTCCTTCTCCTCTTCCTCGTCCTCCTCCTCTTCCTCATCATCCTCCTCCTCCTATTCCTCATCCTCCTCCTCTTCCTCGTCTTCCTTCTCCTCCTCTTCCTCATCCTCCTCCTCTTCCTCATCCTCCTCCTCTTCCTCATCCTCTTCCTCTTCCTCATCCTCCTCCTCTTCCTCCTTCTGGTTGCCATTTCTCATCCTCCCCTTCCCTCTTGTCTCTCTGCAGCATTACCACAGCAGCATCCATTTACTAGACTTTCATAAACGAGTCACTTTTTACAGTGTTCTTGGGCCTCTGTCGTCTGGAAGTCTGTAGTTTGAGATGGCACCCTGGACTGAAGGCTTCCAGGAAAACAATCCAAGCAGCCATTAAATAAACATGAAATAGATGAGATAGAGTGTTCTTACTCTGTAGAAGTTGAGGCCAGTGGTATTTGTGGAGCCTTCTGGGTGTGTGTTCAAGAAAGCCCAGGAGTTTCCTGCTTGAAAAAGGTGAGGGTGGACTAAGTCAGTGCTTTCCTAGGGACCAGTGTTTGAGGGGAGGAGCAAGCCCTTCTCTTATGGGCAAGAGGATGCTTCCTGGCTAGAGCTTAAGGCTGGACCTTGGGAAAAGATGCCCAGCAGCTGGAGGTGAGGGATCTGAGGAGACAGGGTTAAGGCCATGTTCGCATTTGCTCCAGACCTATCCTCCTCCCTTTATCGATCTACTGATCCAGTGACTCCCTCATTCATCTACTCAACAAACATTTAAGGAACTCTGCTACGTACCTGTGTGGATGGGAGAGTGTTCTAAATCAGTGAGTTTTCACCCTAGCCACACGTTGGAATTGCCTATGGAACCTGAAAAACGCTGATGCCCAAGCTTCACCCCAGATCAATGACATTAAAAAGTCTCTGGGTCTGAGATGTAGGAGTGAGTATTGTATCAGAGTTCCCTGAGTGATTTCATTGTTCTGTCAGGGTAGACAGCCACTGGTCTCAGTGACATCTGAGGCTTCTTCCTGTGGCAGTGCCACTCACTGCCCCTCTTCTTCTGAGTGACATGACCAAAGGTGTGACTTGCAGTCACTGCAGCAGCTGCTACTCTGTGCCCACTTCACATAAACGTCTACTGAGCAGCTAGTATGTGCCCAGCATTAGAGAGACACAGAGATGAGGCTAACAGTATCCCCAGGAAGTAAATTAATGTAACCACTCCATTTCCTTAAATGTTTATCTGGTGAGCCAGAAGCCAGCTTTTCTGATGAATGGGATTTTCTGAGATTTGTCCTGTCTTCTCCCTCTGTGGAAGAAACTGTGACTATATCTGGTACGTTTCAGTTAAATGGAGATGAAGCAGGTGGTAAAAAAGACACACACAGAAATAGATGGAATGCAGGCAAACAGGGAGGGATGTTGAAGGGACAAAGTGTTCTCTTTAGGCAGGTTTTCAAGGGTGCACCATCAAGGTGAAATCATGGAAAGGTAAAAGTAAATAATATGCCTGTTTGAGTGCTTAGATTATCAGCAGGAATTGGGCCCTCATGAGGCATCTGGTTCTGAGCACAGTGGGCATGACCCTGGCACTCAGAGAGCATACAATCCTCCTTGGCAATTAAAACCAATATCCAAAACACAGAGATCTTAAGCCCTCAGTTGTGTTTCACTGAAAGTAAGGTTCCTACAGGCTTGGAGAAGGGAGGTAATGGAGAAGTGCTCCCTAAAGTGTGGTCCATGGAACTGCTCTGCCAACCATTTGTTGTCAGTCAGTAATGAGGAGCACAGAAATAGAAAGGAAGCATTTAGAAACTTTATAGCAATTTGCCAGAGTAATTTTATGTCTGTTGAATCTAAAAATTAAAAAATTGGAACTTTTGTTTTTAAAATTGTACTTTGCTGGTAATTCATTTTCATTATAGTTTACTAAAGTACTAGTCTATAACAGATTAGAATAAAAGCAGAAAAAAAAATCAAACTGAGCCTTCACTGCAAATGGCTCGAGGAGAAGCACTGGACTGGAAATTTGAGACATCCTGGCAGGCTAGAGAGGTACTAGAAGGTGGGGAAAGGGCAGATGTTCTATCGGATGTTAAAAAGGGAGTAAGGGCCAGGCTCAGTGTCTCACGCCTGTAATCCCAGCACTTTGGGAGGCCGAGGCAGGCAGATCACTTGAGGCCAGGAGTTTGAGACCAGTCTGGTCAACATGGTGAAACCCCATCTCTACTAAAAATACAAAAATTAGCCAGTATGGTGGTGCATGCCTGTAATCCTAGCTACTCAGGAGGCTGAGGCAGGAGAATCGCTTGCGCCTGGGAGGCAGAGGTTGCAGTGAGCTGAGATTGCACCTCTGCACTCCAGCCTGGGCAATAGAGCGACTCTGTCTCAAAAAAAAAAAAAAAAAAAAGAAAAGAAAAAAAAAGAGGTGGGGGTTAGTAAATCCTGGAAACCTAGAACTTATCCATGAGTGAGGCTCTAAAACAACAAATATTTATTGAGTTATTTGTGGATGCTGGAACTATACCATGTGCTTTATATAAATTATTTTATTGTCTCCTTTTACAAAACTATGTGAGATAATAGCGCTCATCACCATCTTTGTTTTGCGAGGCTTGAAAAGAGCAAGTAAGGTCCCCAGGTTATCACAGCTAGTGAGTGGTGGGCCTACATTTTAAAGCCAGGTGTGTTGGACTCCAAAGCCTAATGGTTTATAACTCCCCACCCCATGCAGCCCCTCCAGGTGAGAGGGAGCACAGGCAATAGGCTCTGCCCATCCAGACATTCCAGAATACGAATGAGGAGAAGGCCCTGCAGATTCAGATCATGGAGCATCTTCTATAAGCAAGTGCTTATGGAAGATACTCTGCCTCCTAGGGAGAGACAGAGTGTGGACTTTTATCTGACAGTTCTTGCTGTCTGTTTGCCTCCGTGTTATTTCAAGAAGTATTTGAGTAGGTGGACCTATCCTAGTTTGGGCCTTTTATTAGGTTTTGAATTGTCCTGTCAGTAGCTTGTGTTAGTGGCATCTCCATCCATTAGAAAAAAATTATTTTGAAATAATTATACCTTCATAGGAAGTTGCAAAGAAACATACATGGAAGTCCTGTGTGCCCTTCATCCAGCATCCCCCACTGTTAACATCTTGCACAACTGTAGTACAATATCAGACTAGGAAATAATCCACAGACTCATCCATCCAGTTTTTCTCCCATATTCTGAGAATCACATTTTAAAAGAAGCATCACTAGGCCAAAGTGTATCTGGAAGAGGGAGAGGGTGGTTGGTCTAGAAGCCAGGTCATATCCAGAAATTCTAAGGGACTGTTGTGAGCTTTTTGCATATAGATGCTGTATGTTATTTACATGTCCTGTCTTAGCACCTAAAACAGTGTGAGGCACACAGTTGATCCTCAGATGTTTTTTGGATTGAATGTTTGATTCAGAGCGTAAAACCTGTGTACACACATAATGGGTGCCTTCCGTGTTGTGGGGCCTTTAGTGAGGAAGAAGGGTGAGATTTGTCTGTCCCCTATTGCTCTAGAATGCAGAGCTGGGATTAATGAAAGTGGGAAGGATGGAACAAGAAACATCCCACCCAGATGTATAGAAGGACTTGACCAACAATGGGAACAATGCAGCAGGGATGTAGTCGGCTCCCCTCTACTGGTTGTGTTTAGTCAGTAGCAGGCCATCAGGGGTTCAGTGGGATGATTAATGCATTTTTTGTTTTTAGTACTAGATCAGATGGCTTTAATGGAAATCTCTTTCAGTTTCTTGTTTCTGAGATTCTAAGAACATGTGCTTATGGACAGAAATAGGATAACTGGGAAGGGGCACCAGTTTATGAGAGGAATCTTCATGGAGTTTGAGGAAACAGCAAAACTTTCTCATGGAAGATCACCTGTAGATTTTGAAAACACTGTATTTGCTTTTTAAAAGGAAGATCATAGGCAGCCAGGTATGAAACCCCTTCTCTTAGTGTTTCTGTGTAACCTGTGGAATTTGCCCAGGGGAACATCTAGAGTTAACCTGGAAATCAGATGCTTTTCTTTCAGGCAGCATTTGGCAACATCAAAACATCAGTTCTAGAGAATATTGTGGGTGCTAGAGTCTGACTATAGGTGACATGTTTTTGTCATGTTAATCAATTATTGAAATTAAGGAGAAGATTATTGCAATTTCTATTCCAGGAAATGAAGCATGCGCTGAGTTAATCAGATTACTTTCAGGTGAAAAAGGAAAAAAAAAATAGGTAAAGGTTCTTAAATTAGGCCACCTGAGAAGGTTATTATATATTCATATATGATTACCTGGAAGGTATGAATTTAAATGATTTATGTTTTTATTTCATTCTGGCTAGCAAGGAAGATAGAAACTATTCCTTTCATGTGTTTTAAAAGCTCACAGAAAATCCATCATTTTTTAGTTGGGGAGAAGAGAAAGGAACAAAAATGTATTTACTGCCTACTATATGCCAATAACTTTATATTATTATTATGTTAATTTTCACAATAATTCTGATGGGTATATTTTATCATTATTATTTTATGACTAAAAAAACTGAAACTCAGAGCAGATAAGTGTTCTGGGGCACACATTGAGTGAAAAATAGAGCTGGGACTGAAAGCCAGGTCTGGCAGACTCCAAAGCCAGTGCTCTTTATGCTGTTTACTATTGGCGGCATGCAACCCTAGCAGAATCCAAACTGACTATGTTCATGAATGGATTTCAGAACTTGTATGTCTCATAACCACAGGTGTCAGTTCCCTGTCTGTAGCAAAGTCTGCCCAGATGAGTCTACCATTGCTGATGACCTTTTGTAGTAGAGTCAGACTCAGGCATTGAAACCATTGCTACAAGTAGGAGTCTTGGCACCTACCTATCTCCCTGTACCCCCCAGTGCCTCCACAATGCATGATCTTGAAGGTGAATGCTGTCCTTTCCTTTGACTGTGGCACAGCTTCCAGCTTGCCTGCTGCCCAGTGTCTAATAATCCTAGCTTAATTTTTTTCCAAGTTTTGGAAGTGGGATCTCATTCTCTTAAGTGGCTTGGAGAGAAGCCAAGAGACCCCATGGTACAAAGGACAGAGCACATGACAAATATGTTCTATCCATGCTATGGAACTTGCCAGCCATGTCGTTTTAAAGAGTCTCTTAGTTGTCTGAGTCTCAGTTCTTTCACCAATGAAAAGGGGATAATACTAACCTTCTCTATTTTCATTGTAAGGTGAGTATGAGATTCAGATGCTATTGGTATCTAGGAAACTCTGAAAATAATAAGGCATTATACAAATGTAAGAGAACCATCTGTCCTCTGCAAAAGCTTTCCTCCAGAAGAGGTGAAAGCCAATACACACGGCAGAGTAGGGAAACATCAGCTTTTACTAGCCAGCCGGGTTCCGTTTTGCTAGAAGTAGACTTGGTCTCTGTGGCCTCCTCTTTTCCCTGAATAGCATAGCTGTGTTTCTTGGCTTGGCTTATTGAAATAATTGCTCCCAATCTTCCCTTTCCAATGAATGCCAAGCTGTTAGACCTGAACTACAGCCACTGGCTGAAGCCTTCCAAAGATCCTGATTGGGTGGACTGTGTCTTGCTCAGCTTAATTTGCTTGCTGGTTATGTAAATATTAGGGTTGTTAATCTTCATTAGAGGGTGTTAGCCAAGAAAAATTGTATTTTTATAAACCTGTATATTAACATGGGGAAAAAAGTAAAAGTAAACCAAACAAAATTGAACAACTTTGATGCCCTAAAAGCTTCCAATGAAAACTAAAAAGCCCCTTATGTGTATTTGTTCAACAAATAAGACCATGGCTTCAAATTATTTTTGAAAGTGGGACATAGATACTAAATAAATTAAAAAGCAAATTTTCTTTTTTTTTCTTAAGGAATGTTCAAGTTTTTTAAATTATTATTATACTTTAAGTTCTAGGGTACATGTGCACAACGTGCAGGTTTGTTACATATGTATACATGTGCCATGCTGGTGTGCTGCACCCATTAACTCGTCATTTACATTAGGTATATCTCCTAATGCTATCCCTCCTCCCCACCCCACAACAAATTCTCATTTTGAAGAGAATAATCGGGATAATTAGAAGCTATCCATTTTGCTGTCATTTATAGATTTGAGTTTGCAAAGCAGTTTTCATGGATTTTTTATTTTCCTACATGGACTTTATTCCTTAAATGTAGTTTGTGTTTATATTTTCATGTTATAAACTTTTCACTGAAGTATAGCAAGTGTACAGAAGAGTGCACAAATTCTAAGTGTACAGCTCCACGGATTTTTACCCAGTGAACACACTTGAGTAATCAGCACACAGATCAATAACATTATGAGCACCCTAGAACATTAGCCCCTGCAGGGTCCCTTTCTGTTGACTAGCTCCTCCTCTCAAGGGTAATCTCTGTGGCAACTCCCAGCATCATAGATTAGTTTGCCTGTTTTGAAACTTGGTATATGTAGAATCCTAAAATACACACTGTTTTGTGTCTGTCCTCTTTTGTTCAATGTTATGTATGTGAGATTAATCCATGTTGTGTATAGCAATTTATTTCTATATTGTATAAATATGCCACAATTTATCCATCTTACTGTACAAGGTATTTGGGTTGTTTCCAGCTTGGTGCTATTATGAATAAAGCCGCTATGGATACTCTCGTACATATCTATTGACGAATATATACACCCAGTTTTGTGGAGTATATACCTAAGGGGAAATACCAAGGAATGGGGTATGAGTATGTTTAGCTTTAATAAACACTGCCAAAAAGTTTTCCAAAGCAGTTATAATGATTTATATCTTCACCAGCAGATAGAACACTTCCCATTGTTTCATACCTTTGCCAATATTTGGTATTATTTGTCTTTTCCATTTTGGCTTTTCTGCTAGGTATGTGGTAGTGTCACATTGTGGGCGTTATGTTTTTGTTTTTTGCATTTCCTTGATGGCTAATGAAGTCTAGAACATTTTCATATGTTTATTCGCCATTTGGATATCCTCTTTTGTAAGGTGAATCTTCATGTCTTTTGCCTCATCTTTGCTATTGAATTATCTGCCTTTTTCTTATTGAGTTGTAAGAGTTCTTTATGCATTCTGAATATGAGTCCTTTGTGGAATATATGTATTATGAATATTTTCTTCCAGTCTGTGTCTTGTCTCTTTACACTCCTTATGATGCATTTTCATGAAATGAACATATGTTATTAACTTTATTGTGGTCCAGTTTATTATTTTTTCTTTTATATTTAGTACTTTTTGTGTCCTGTTTAAGAAATTTTTGTCTACTGTAAATATTTCCTACTGAAAGCTTTATTGTTTTACTTCTCACATTTGGATCAGTAATTCATTTGGAAATGCTTTTAGTGTACGGTGAGAAAGAGAGGTTATTATTACTATTTTGTATTCAATTTGAGAGCAGGTACTGTTTATTAACTGACCAGCTTAGAAAAATAATCATGGTAGACACCTTAGTTCATTCTAATAAGCCTGTTGATCTGGTCCTCCCTGTTGCCAGCATCTCCACCTTCTACAAAATGGATGGTCTTTTTCTTCATTCTGTCTCATG
Source organism: Homo sapiens (assembly GCF_000001405.40). NCBI lineage: Eukaryota > Metazoa > Chordata > Mammalia > Primates > Hominidae > Homo > Homo sapiens. The sequence continues at coordinate 124,152,058 of NC_000003.12, forward strand.
GAGAAGATAATTTAAAGGGCCACAGGAAGTTATTTGCTTCTTTGAAGCGTTTTCCAACATTATAGATCTCATGAATCAGATCCTTCCTGCAGATGATGCAAGAGATCGAACAATCAAAGTGTTATCTGTCAAAGCAATTCGCTTCTTATTGATTTTGCCATAACCACGCTTGTAGATTAGTTCATTTACTGACTTCAGATTTGGGTACCCCTATGCAATATATGGTTCTACAGTCCTCAGCATATTAATTGAAGTCTTGTTAAGCTTCACAAAGGTTCCATTGAAGATTTGACGAAGGCGAAGAAGCTGCAACACCTTTCGGACCTTTGGGCTCACACTATTGATACCTCTGATCCTGATGACAAATGCCAATTTGGGTTCTGCAGGTACATAGAAGTTGCCAGCTTTTCTTGCCATCCTGGCCATTCGAATTTCAGTTCTGTACATCTGCCTATATTCCTTGTTACAGTGCTTTTCTTTTTCTTTTTCTTTTTCTTTTCTTTTCTTTTCTTTTCTTTTCTTTCTTTCTTTCTTTCTTTTTTTTTTTTTTTTTTGAGACAGAGCCTCTCTCTGTTGCCCAGGCTGGAGTGCAGTGGTGCAATCGAGGCTCACTGCAACCTCTGCTGCCCGGGTTCAAGCGATTCTCCTGCCTCAGCATCCTGAGTAGCTGGGATTACAGGCTCCTGCTACTGTGGCTGGCTAATTTTTGTAGTTTTTGTTTGTTTGTTTGTTTGTTTTTCATTGAGACGGGGTTTCACCATCTTGGCCAAGCTTGTCTTGAACTCCTGACCTCGTGATCCACCCGCCTCGGCCTCTCAAAGTGCTGGGATTACAAGTGTGAGCCACTGCACCTGGCTGTGCTTTGCTTTTTCATAGATAAGCTTCCTCCTTGCCTTTTGAAGCACCTTTGTGCAAACTTCTTTCTCAGGTGCTTGATCTTCAGCTCTGTGAAATTCCTTCACTTTTTCTTAAAGGTTTCTGGCACAGCAGGAACCTTCTTCTTTTTTTAATTTTTTTTAATTCTTTTTTAATTTTTAAATTTTTTAATTTTAATTTTTATTTTTTTATTATTATTATACTTTAAGTTTTAGGGTACATGTGCACAATGTGCCGGTTAGTTACATATGTACACATGTGCCATGCTGGTGTGCTGCACCCATTAACTCATCATTTAGCATTAGGTATATCTCCTAATGCTATCCCTCCCCCCTCCCCCCACCCCACAACAGTCCCCAGAGTGTGATGTTCCCCTTCCTGTGTCCATGTGTTCTCATTGTTCAATTCCCATCTATGAGTGAGAACATGCGGTGTTTCGTTTTTTGTCCTTGCGATAGTTTACTGAGAATGATGATTTCCAATTTCATCCATGTCCCTACAAAGGACATGAACTCATCATTTTTTATGGCTGCATAGTATTCCATGGTGTATATGTGCCACATTTTCTTAATCCAGTCTGTCATTGTTGGACATTTGGGTTGGTTCCAAGTCTTTGCTATTGTGAATAGTGCCGCAATAAACATACGTGTGCATGTGTCTTTATAGCAGCATGATTTATAATCCTTTGGGTATATACCCAGTAATGGGATGGCTGGGTCAAATGGTATTTCTAGTTCTAGATCCCTGAGGAATCGCCACACTGACTTCAACAATGGTTGAACTAGTTTACAGTCCCACCAACAGTGTAAAAGTGTTCCTATTTCTCCACATCCTCTCCAGCACCTGTTGTTTCCTGACTTTTTAATGATTGCCATTCTAACTGGTGTGAGATGTTATCTCATTGTGGTTTTGATTTGCATTTCTCTGATGGCCAGTGATGATGAGCATTTTTTCATGTGTCTTTTGGCTGCATAAATGTCTTCTTTTGAGAAGTGTCTGTTCATATCCTTTGCCCACTTTTTGATGGGGTTGTTTGTTTTTTTCTTGTAAACTTGTTTGAGTTCATTGTAGATTCTGGATATTTGCCCTTTGTCAGATGAGTAGGTTGCAAAAATTTTCTCTTCATTTTGTAGGTTGCCTGTTCACTCTGATGGTAGTTTCTTTTGCTGTGCAGAAGCTCTTTAGTTTAATTAGATCCCATTTGTCAATTTTGGCTTTTGTTGCCATTGCTTTTGGTGTTTTAGACATTCCCTTTGAAAATTGGCACAAGACAGGGATGCCCTCTCTCACCACTTCTATTCAACATAGTGTTGGAAGTTCTGGCCAGGGCAATTAGGCAGGAGAAGGAAATAAAGGGTATTCAATTACAAAAACAGGAAGTCAAATTGTCCCTGTTTGCAGATGACATGATTGTATATCTAGAAAACCCCATTGTCTCAGCCCAAAATCTCCTTAAGCTGATAAGCAACTTCAGCAAAGTCTCAGGATACAAAATCAATGTACAAAAATCACAAGCATTCTTATACACGAATAACAGACAAACAGAGAGCCAAATCATGAGTGAACTCCCATTCACAATTGCTTCAAAGAGAATAAAATACTTAGGAATCCAACTTACAAGGGACTTGAAGGACCTCTTCAAGGAGAACTACAAATCACTGCTCAATGAAATAAAAGAGGATACAAGCAAATGGAAGAACATTCCATGCTCATGGGTAGGAAGAATCAATATCGTGAAAATGGCCATACTGCCCAAGGTAATTTATAGATTCAATGCCATCCCATCAAGCTACCAATGACTTTCTTCACAGAATTGGAAAAAACTACTTTAAAGTTCATATGGAACCAAAAAAGAGCCCGCATCGCCAAGTCAATCCTAAGCCAAAAGAACAAAGCTGGAGGCATCATGCTACCTGACTTCAAACTATACTACAAGGCTACAGTAACCAAAACAGCATGGTACTGGTACCAAAACAGAGATATAGATCAATGGAACAGAACAGACGTCAGAAATAACGCCACATATATACAACTATCTGACCTTTGACAAACTTGAGAAAAACAAGCAATGGGGAAAGGATTCCCTATTTAATAAATGGTGCTGGGAAAACTGGCTAGCCATATGTAGAAAGCTGAAACTGGATCCCTTCCTTACACCTTATACAAAAATTAATTCAAGATGGATTAAAGACTTAAACCTTGGACCTAAAACCATAAAAACCCTAGAAGAAAACCTGGCCATTACCATTCAGGACATAGGCATGGGCAAGGACTTCATGTCTAAAACACCAAAGGAACCTTCTTCTTCTTCTCTTCTGCACCCTCCATGGTTCCAGCCAGAAAAAAGAGATTTTTTTTCTCCTGTTTTGTCATCAGTAGACTTGAAGACATTTATTGAAAATACCATTCTTTCCTCACAGCATCACAATGTCACCTTTGTCTTAAATCAGAGGTGCCACCAAGTAGTTGATACTACCTTGAGTTTGATTGTACTAAGTAAGTGGCTTATCTCTTGGCACAGGCAGGGGTGACTAAGAAAGGCCAGGACAGGATCAGAGGTCTAGAACATTTCCAGATCCACTGCCCCACAGACTAGGTTTAAATATCCTTCTCCAAGTAAAATAACTTTAATAGAATCATAGTATGAACACACAGACAGTTCACAAACAAGACAGTTAAGAAACCATCCTCTCCATTAGAAGATGGATATGGAGTGGAACCATATGAAATGGAATTTAAAGAAATGCAATACCTACTTTCAGGTTAAATTCAGTTTTTCACAAGATTCAACTGAAAATGATTATTACTTTGTCTAATACCAGTTCTCACAATAAGGGAAAGGCTTTTCTGGAAACAGGCTTGGCTCATGCCCATTTCTTGGGGTTCATCCATCACATCTCCCTCAGCTGAGTGCAGAATTAGACACACAGAGCCTTTACCTTCTTGCTTATTTTAATTACTCTGTGAAGGGCCTTTTGTTTGTGTCCAGCCGCTTCTGGCAACCTGAAATCTTTCAGGATTTCTAAGATTCATCTGGGTCTGGGATGCTGATAAGACAGGGTCTCCTTAGATAGATGGACACCCATCCAAGGGCCCCATCCAGCTTAAACTATGGAGAACATCAACTCTCTGGCCAAGCCCTCATTCATCCAGAGAATACAGCTTCCTTCCATCAGCCAGATTCAGGGTGGTATATGAAGTGGAATCCCTCCTCTTAGGGGACTTGGACCTGGTCTAGGCACCTTTAAGTTCAGGGAGTTTCCCTCCACCTCTGCTTCTCTCTCCTGGGGCTGACCCGAAAGTCTTGGCTGCCATAAATGAGAAACATTGTTCAGCAAACAAACCTCATTGGAGCAACAGCTTCTTTTGTAAGTTTCCATTTGGTGAACAAGTGCAGTTGAATACCTTCTGTATATTAGCACTCAACATCTATTCCCAGTCCTTGGGATACTTAGTTTACCTCTAATAGTCTCTACTTAAACTTGGGGCCTGACAAACTTTATTAATGCTTGATCACCTGACCTCAAGTCTTGCTCATTCCTGTTCCCCGCCATGTTAGCTGAGTATTTTGTAATGAATCTCATCTGTCTGCTGTGTATTATGCCCCACTTTGAACCTGTGTTTTGACTTGAGTGAATCCATGTCCTATTAACCAGCAAGACTCCAACTTAGCCGAAGTCCTAAGTTCTTAAGTATCTTGAGATGCTTCGCTGCTGCCCCAGGATCTGCCATTGAGCTCAGGACAAAGCAGTGCACTTGTCAAGAGAGAATTAATCTTTTTCGCATAATGCCATCCATGTGTTGGGGTCCTGTGTTTTCCCTGTGCCCAATGACAAAAGATAAAACAATGACATGGAGTTAGGACTGTGGCATAATGTCCCAATTGTCATGCCTTATTTTCATCAGGAAAGAGTCCCAGTCACTACAAGCCTTTGCCACCCTAGACGTTGCATAATTTTGATTTTGTTCACCCATTTGCTCTATATGTACACAGAATGGCTATTTTAGGCTCTTTAATGTCTGTTCTTTTAAAATAGCTTTTTAAAGAGACTCTTCTGTTTTGTGTTTATGTTTCTTAATCTCTGCACATTTAAAAACCATTGTATATAATAGAGTCACAGACTTTCAGAACCCAGAGATATTAGATGCCATTAGTTCAGTCTTTTCATGACTACATAATATTGTGAGATTTATCTCTCTAGAGATATTTTTAAACTTCTGTTATAATCACAGGAAGTCAGAGCTGGAAGACAACTAAGGACTGTGCTAGGCCAGCAATGTCATTCTACAGACAAGGACCCTGAGGAGGCAAGTGACTGGACCACACAGGCAGTGGTGGAATAGGGTCCTGAATCTCCAGACCCTCAGTCTGGGGCTCTTTGTTCGTGTAGACAGGGCTGCTTCTCACTTCCAATTTCACTTCCTAATTGTAACCCAAAGACAGCTAGGAGTTTGTCGTGGAATCTGTGAATGTGCTTGTTATGAAACACCAATCACTGCCAGGATTTAAGGTAACATAGAAATACCCGAAATGTCTTTTGGGCAAGAGCCATGAATCCCAATGGGAGTAGGCTGGGATAAGTAGTTATGTTAATAAAACTTTTCCACATCAAAAGTGTGAGTCAGATTCAATGTATAAATACCTTTAAGAAGTTACACGCAGAGGGAGTTTAGTTTTAGTACAAATAGATCATTTGTTTGCATCCCTTTCCGAAATAAGGGGGGTAGAAGTTATGTCTTTCAAGTTACACTGATCACTAAAAAAAGGAAAACCATCTGCAGGAGGGTCCTTTTCCTTGTGGACTGCTGTCCTGTGTGGTATTTCTGATAAAGCTTGAGTTTCCAGTGCAGCAGAGGAGAAGAGGAGAGTGTGTCTTTTCTTCCCTTTTGTCTTAACTGCATTCAGAAAATTCCACCTCTGCCCCTTTCCCCTGCGAATGCCCCTGGTCCCAGCTCCTTCCTGAGTCCTGTTGCTCCAGGTGCAGTGGCTGTGGGTCTGGGACCTGTGGGAACCTCCTGTGATGGAGTACAGAGCACTGTTAAGGAGAAAGGAAACATCAGAGTCAGCTCTTCTTCTGCTCCTCAGGGCTCCCCTTTTCCTGCCCATCTTTCTCCTAGGATAGACTGGTCTACGCAGAGAGGCTCACAGGTGTGCCTTGTAAACTTCAGAAATTATTCTACCCGTCACACTCAGGGTTTGTTTCTGCCTGCTTTGTGTCACCTCCACCCCACCCTCTGCTCCTGAAGCAGGGATGTTTGTGGCTGAATGAGGAGGGTGGAGTAGATGGGAGTGTGTTTACAGCCTCCTCTGGGCTTCTGCCTGGTGACTAGAAGGACCTAGATGGGAACATTGTGGAAGAGATAGCCCACTTCTCCCAGGAAGCTCCCAGTCTACTGAGGAGATGATAATTGCTTATCTGATGGCCTCTGGTATAAAGTGATGCCTGAGCTGAGCGTTTCTTCATTACCTCTCAGATGCCAGCACCAGTCCTAGGCTAGTGCATCAGTAGAAGCCGGATCTGAGCTGAGATGGTGATTCTGTCCTCTCTGGAGAGGCCATTGTCCCCAAGAGGCATTCATGTGGTGATTTGCAAAACACTGTTGAGTTTCTCTTTGCCTGTTTGGGGATTTTTATGCAAAGGGATCTCCATTCCTAGAATTCACTGAAAGCAATCCCTGACATGCCCTCTGCAACTCATCATGTTAATGGGAAAGAAGGGCTGGAGGCCAGCCAGGGTACCCTCCTCCCCCCACCACCCGCCAAGCCATGTCAGGATGGCTATATTGATTGCAGAGTCTGACGGAAGATTACGGCAATGGATGGGGATTCACTTGGCTTTTGCAAGGCCACTGACAGTGGAGAAATAAAGCTCTGGCTCTGGAGCCTGTCTTCTTAACTGGGCTTCCATCCAGGTCTTCCTTGCCATCCCCCTACTCCCCCTAGTCCATGATGCACACCCAACCAGATCTGGCTTCCCTGAACACCTCTTAGTCAAACTCCCCAGTTGCTTAGAACCCCTTAACGGGTCCTGTTGGCCTGGACTCAGGGCCCTATAGGATCAGGTATACATCTACAAACAATTGCCTTTACAACCTTATCACTGATAAAGCCTGCCCTCTGCAGTGAAACCCACCATCTAGTCAGATGGGGTCTTCTCATAGTCCCCTAAAAATTCCAGGCTTATTTGTACCTCTATGCCTTTCCCCAGATTTTTCCCCATGTCTTCTGAGCTCACCTCCCTCCATCTGCTCAAATTCAGTTCCTCCTTGAGTACTTGGCTTATGCCACACCTCCCTAACCCTTGGCCCACATGGCTTTTTCTTTTCTTTCTTTCGTTTTTGTTTGTTTGTTTTTGAGACAGGGTCTTAGTTTGTCACTCAAGCTGGAGTGCAGTGGTGCAATCTCAGATCACCACAGCTTTGAGCTTCTGGGCTCAAGTGACCCTCCTACCTCAGCCCCCCAAGTAGCTGGGACTATAAGCATGTGCCACCACGCCTGACCCATTTTTTGTATTTTTTGTAGAGATGGGGTTTTGCCCTGTTGCCAAGGCTGGTCTTGAACTCATGAGCTCCAGTGATCCACTAGCCTTGGCCTCCCAAAGTGCTGGGATTACAGGCATGAGCCACTGCACCTGGCTGGCTTTTTTTTTTTTTTTTTAAACTTTCTATCTCTTTTAAAGTTAACTGGTTACATTTTGCCTTCTCTGCTCCTCTAGCTGTGCAGTAGCCCATTTCTCTGATGCGTAATACCTGAGGGTAGGAACTGTTAGACCCTCCAGTCCAGGGCAAAATGTGAGATGAACACATGCTATTTCTTGGGTAAATGGGGAGAGATGAATGCTTGAAATAATGAACTCTCTCTGGACAATTTAGCATCATTTCCTTCTTAATCCGGTGTTCATATACCCGTTGTAAAGTGAGGACTAGAGGTACTGATGGGTATGGGGGGAGATGGAAGCAGGATTCTCAGAAGGGTTTCCAGCATAGCAGTGATGATGAGCAGGATTGAGATGGAGCAGGTGCTAGATGAAAAAACGAAAACGAAACCCAAAGAAAATAAGAAATTGAATTTGACATACCTTGGTGAAGGAAGGTGGGTGTACTGAGTTGAATAAATGTCCCTTGAAAGTTCATATCTATCTGAAATCTTAGAATGTGACCTTACTTGGAAATAGGGTCTTTGCAG